>NC_000004.12:131345623-131648653 GCF_000001405.40 Homo sapiens
TGAACCTCATTTATCCTGGTGACATATTTGCATACTCTAAAAACAGACTTAATTTGGAAAAAGAGAAAAAATTACTGTCATTCACTCCCAGAATTTTTATTATAATTTCCCTTGTGTTACTCATAAAATGATTGGCATAATAATAAGAAAAACCTACCAATGGTTTCTTCATTGTCTGGAATATTAGAATCAGTATATAGTCTACTCATGTTAACAGTTTGACAAAACAACATGTTTATTTTTGCTATTGAGGTTATCATATGTCTTGAAACTTAAATCATCCTCATCTCTTTACATTCAATAATTTTCAAACAAATCTTTATAAGCTTTTCTTTTGTTTAAACAAAAATGTCTTCAAAGTTTGAGTCATCACTTAGGGACACTGAAAATATTTCAAAAACAGATATACCAAAGGTTTATTTTTATGCTTAAGCTTTACATTTAAAAATTTACAAACCGAATGCCCTAATAAGATATAAAATACTGTGTTCCATTCCACTTTTTCATCCCCCCACAACACACACACACAAAAAACAGAAAGAAACCAAACCCCACAAATAATTGTTTTTTAATTTTTTCTTAAACATCCACTAATCCCAAATTTTTACAAGTATGTGGCTACAGCTCAACCCATGAAGCAAAGCTTATTTAGAGAGTATCGACTGTTTTAATTACTAATGGTATCAATGTTTGTATAAAAAGAGAAAGATAAATTGAGTTTAAGAGAGGTATAATGCTACCACAACTTTATAAGTAAAGGTAATTGGAATCAGGCACTGATACTTCTTTTCATAAAAGTCTTCAGAGAAGTTATAGAGGGTAGCCCTGTCTGTTTTCTGTCCTATTTCTTATTATCAATATTTATTAATGCAAATGTCATTTACCAAAGCTTGATAAACTGAGCTCTAAACTTTTGTTTCTTTCCTTTCAGTGAGGAACTCTGACAATAGGACCTAAAGGTCTCATACTATTCATATGTCTTTGCTTCTGATGTTTGCTGACTGGCAGCAGTGTATCCCTAGATCACATCTACCTGCCTAAGTCCCAGGCACAACCTGTTAATAGCACTTCCTACAAATTGAACAGGCTGTGGACCTCTTTAAGATTTTAAATAAAATGCATCTGTGAAGCACTGATTCACTTTGGCAACTGAAAACCAAGCCTTCAATTCTGTAATTCATTTCTTGAAAGAGAATATTGATTTGCAAAACTCTAGGGACGGGGAGAATTCTTCTCCCAACCCTCAAAGGTTTGAGTCTACTGAAATAAACTGACAATAGATGGATAAACAGGAGAAAAGACATACAAAGTCATTGATGCGCATAGTCATGAGAGCCATACAAAATATGAGAAACAAAGAAACAACAGATGGTTGAAGTTTATAGGGGAGCTTCACAGGGGAAAGGGAGATGGGGAAAATGTAAGTAATTTTGAGAGGTTGTAAATAGTTTTTAGAGACAGTGAATGGATCTAAACAACAGACAATAGCTTGTAAATGATTCTCTTTGGACACTGAATGTGATCAAATTATGGAAGGTGAGAGGTAGAACTGCAATTTAAACAAAGGTTGTCTTGTTATGCGGATAAAGTCTCTTAGTATCTCTGGGCTTCTCTCAGAAGAATAGATTAAAAGTCTGTCTGGGCATGATGACAACTTTTAGTCTCTTCTTTTCTCTGGTGGTCAGTCCAACATGCTTATTTGATAAGATTCCTGTGGAGAAGTTTTTAAGACAATTGCATTTCTTTTGGAAGAATGAATGATTGTAAATGAATTATTTAATTCAATTATCTAATCTAATCTCTTTGCAATTCTTCAAATTGCCTGACTTGTAAATCTTTATAGCAGTATTCAGCAAATTGCATTTTGTGGAAATTCAAGTTTCCCAAGCTACATTTTTTGTTTTTGGCGGGGGGAGGAACTTTTCCTCAGTCAGGTAAAGGAACTCCCAGAAAGACCCCTTCCTACTTTTGGGAGAGGGGCAAGAGAAGATTAGAAAGTCCTTGGTTCTGAGCTTCTAAAACCTTCTGATTTTCTTTCACTCAAAAGTGCTCAGCATGCCAAAGCATCATACTTTAGTATCATTCTTTGTGCCCCAACTATGCAAAATTAAATATGGATGTGAACTCAGTTATTTAAAATTATGTTAGTTAAATATGCATGTAATATGTGAGCAATATGTTTATGATTTACTGCTATATTTTAGGAAAAGTAAACATTAGATAAGATAAATGACAAGAGAAATCAGAAAAGGGGGAAGTATAAGAACATATAGGCTGAGAATAAACGAGTAGATGGTGATAAACTACAAAGAGAAGTACAATAGTAGAAACAGTGTCAAAGAAAGCAAAGATTATGAAAGAAGTCAATATGCAGATAACGAAGAGAAAGTAAAAGAGCAGCCAAGGACTATGAGAAAGATGGAAAGGTAATTAGTAAGTTCTAAGTTATCAGTCAAAGTGCATTGCTCTTAACATGTATTTTTAATTAAACAATGCATTTTAGTAGAATTTCACACTGGGTTTTTATAAATGAATGATCTAATTACCCTCTTTTCACAGTTTTTCAAATTGCCTAACTAGAAAATCTTTAAAGCAGCATTTGTAAATTGTATATGGTGAAAATTCAGGTTTCTCCAGAAATGCCTCAATGCTCTGTTAAAATAAATCTTTAGACAAATTAAACGTAGAAAATTTTAATTGAGCAAAGAGTGATTTGCAAATTGAGCAGCCCCCAGACCAGAATAAGTTCAGAGCAACTACAGGGCTGCCACATGGTCAGATAACGTTTAAGGACAGAAAGTGAAAAGTGATGCAAACAGAAAATAGAAGTGAGATACAGAAACACCCAGATTGGTTACAGCTCAGCATTTGCCTTATTTGAACCTGCTTTACACACTTAGCTGCCTATAGTTGACTAAAGTTTGGCTGCTCTTATTGCCTGAGACTCAGCTACTTGTTACAAGCATAGGTTAGTCCATTTACACATCAAGTTGAGTTACAGTTCATTATGTATGAAGAAATCTTCAGGCCAAACTTAAGTAAAGGAGGCAGCTTTAGGCCAAACATAACTTAACAGGTATAGTGTTTAATTCTAATTCAATTTAATTTTAAATATTTTAAAACAACAATAAAAAACACAAAGGCTCAAAAATATTATGTAGAAGTCTGTAACCCATTGTGATCTTAGCTGCTGGATTAACTGTTTATTTTTATTTATTTATTTTTTTTTGAGACAGAGTCTCACTCTGTCACCCAGGCTGGAGTGCAGTGGCACTATCTGGGCTCACTGCAAGCTCCACCTCCCGGGTTCACGCTGTTCTCCTGCCTCAGCCTCCCTCGTAGCTGGGACTACAGGCGCCCACCACCATGACCAGCCAATTTTTTGTATTTTTAGTAGAGACGGGGTTTCACCGTGTTAGACTGGATGGTCTCGATCTCCTGACCTCGTGATCTGCCCGCCTTGGCCTCCCAGAGTGCTTGGATTACAGGTGTGAGCCACTGCACCTGGCCCTGTTTATTTTTATTTTTATTTTTGTTTCAGACATCAGGATAAAGTTTCTCCTGCCATTTCTGTTTAAATCAATTGCATCTTTTAAAGTAGAAGGCATAATGTTAAAAAAAAAGAAGCATTTATATTTTGAACCATTCATCTGAGTGAATCAAGATTTTTTCATAGTTTATGAATTTAAAGAAAGAGAAACCTGATTTAATGTTCACATTAAAATAAACATTATAATATTAATTAAGTATAAAATAAAGCATTATTTATTTTGATCAGAATTTACTGAAAAGTTTTATTTTGAAAACAAACAAAAAGCCAAATTGAGTACTAGTAGAGCAGTTTTAAGCAATTAAATCCAGGTCAGACTTCAACCCAGAATAGTAGTGCTCACATTTTACTACCTCTCTGTGAAAGAAGGGCATTTTGATTTTCCTCTTCATATTCATTTCAGGAACTGGAAAAAATTCTTTTTAAAAAAATACACTAAAACTAAAACAGCTCATCATATTGATTCCCCAAGGAAGTTTTGACTTACAGACAGCAAATTAAGAGCAAGCGCAGGGTCCTTGTGGTTATTTCTTTCAACATGCAAAACAATTTTCCTTTTATAAATGAGTTTAGCTAATGTGCCTTTGAGATGATTCATAGTTCACTGACAGCTGTTTACCTTCAAGCCCACCTCAGATAATTTACCCTTCTCTCTAGTCGCATTTGAATTCAACATAAACATGCTCAGTAAATTCTCTTGGTAACAAGTTAAAGGTTAGATTGTCTTTCGGCAATGGATTTGATTTCCAACCAGGTGGAAAGCAGAGAAAGAAGTTGCAGATACTTGCAAGAGCAAAATTAAAGACAGGAAATTTTAATTGGCCTCTAGGTATGACTATTATTGGTTAAATTCTGATTAAGTGGTGTAAATTACATTTTATTAGTATGTACCTAATATTATTCAGATTTACCATATTCTATTTTCTTTATGTTTGTATAATTTCGAGATCACTAACTTATTAAAATATGCAATGTGATATAAAACCCAATTATATAATTCATATATTTAAAGTTTTCAATGTGAATACCACTCAAAAACCTTTCTGAAGATATTATTTACAAAAAGTTCAGAAATGATGCCTACTCTTTAAGGTCACATTAGAAAACTGTAGTGTAGAACACATTATGATATATATTTGCTTTATTTTCTTATAGTGGTGGATTAAATATAATAGGTCACATATTATGGCTTAGAAAATATTTTGAGTATCATAAATATTCTGTTCTCCAAACACTCTGTAAGATAGACTGCAAATTTTCTTATTTCCATTTTAAAATAAATAATAATAAAAGCTCAGTGACTTGACCTTTGTTACACTATTGGTAAAGTAAAACCAGAAACCATACCATACATATATACTTCAAAACTTTAAGCCATACTGCTTGTACAATATATTTTATTCTAGCACAGATGCCCAAAGTAAAGCAAACATTTTTGTTTTATTTCTCCCAGTTCTAAAATACTGGGTTTGCTGATTTTTAATTTCTACACAAATATAACTGGTGAAGATATGTTTCCCAAAGACCTTTTTTGATTTGGTTGGCTGATTACTATCATTTGAGGATCTTAATTTACCTCCTTAAAAAAATCTTTGATAAGGTTGGTTGTTGGAGTGGGTTATAGGATGTGGTCGGGGTAGCCATAGAGAAAATAAAAAAAGATTCATATTTTCACTGACCTCTTTACACATTTTGCTGCAAGATTATATTTACACAGTTCTAAAGAAAGTTTTGAGCGTTGTATGATTGAGGCTAATAAATGAACTTTGTTTTTTTTCTGAGTTTTGGGCACTAGGAAAAGTATTACTCTAACAGAAAAGACAGATACTGGAAGAAATCTAGATTTTTTGGAAATCTTAATTTTGGGTAATATTCATTTGATTTTAACTGATAGACAGTAGATTAATGCCAAATGCCGCTTTTCAGCAGCATAGCGTGAAGATTCGTAACCCTGGCATCACCTCCAGAGATTGTGCTTCAATTACTTGGTTAGAGCCCAGACACTGCTATTTGTATAAGCGTCCCATGAGAGGCTAAAATGCTGCCATGGTTGAAATCCAATGGTGAAACTCACGCTAGTTTTGGGGCTGAAAAACCTGGGCTTTCGCTCATTAAACACAGGTGTGGATCATGCTGCTATTTAACTTTTTTAAAATATCAGATCCTTTCTCTGTAAAATGAGGTTATTAAAGCTTATTTTGAAGAGTTTCTGTGAAGATTGTTAATTATCCATATCTTCCTGTTTTGTTGACCATTACATACTGGATTTTTTTTCTTACCGATTTTTTATTAAGAAAAAACACATCTAAATTAAAAATTTGGAAAAAAAATCAATTTTTAAAAATGAAATGCCTGCAAAGGAGATTAGGTGGAAATGAACTATTTTCACACAACACAGAGCAACATTTCTCATAAAATTGTTTCAGATATGGGACTATCTCTAAGTCCCATTTATCCAGCAGCCTTATCTCCAAACCCCTTTGCTCATTGTTAACTGTACTCCCAGTGCTAGTTCTCTCTCATTTTCCTCTGTTGCTTCTCTTTTCCTCCAACTTCCATAGTTTATATATTTTCTCTTCTATGTAGATCTCCTTTTTGTTTATGTCAATCTATTTAGTGTCTCCCAGCTTCTCTTAAACCTCTTTTTCACAAATTAATCTTCACTATAAAGGCCTAGAAGCTTAAGTGTACAGATAAAACAAAAACAAAAACTAAACAAGACAACTCCTTTAATGGCCACTTACAAAGTGAACAATTTTCAAGAATTCTTATATAGCTAGAATGTTTTTATAAATGAATAAAGAGTACTAAGAAATAAAAACTGAAATTTACTATGCCCCCACCAAAAAGTTTAAACTACCTAACCAAAGGAAGATCCCTGTTTTCTGAAGCAGAGAGAAAGCGGCCCAGTTGCTAGAATTTAAAGCAGCTTTATTTCAGTCTGTAGGCAATAGTAACAGTATAAATTTGGGGGTCATGTTTCTTAAATTAATCTATGCTTGACTTCTTTAGAGGTATTGTCAGTTGTTGAAATTTTATTTGAAAAACAATTTATAAAAGCACAGTCTGGATCATCTTTATTATCTTAGCCTTACAGAGCAGTTCTATTCAAAATTTACTGTGCATATAAAACAACTGAGTTCTGTTAATTTGAAAATCTGATTTAGTAGTCCTAGCATGAAGCACAAAATCTGCATTTCTAAGAAACTCTAGGTAAGAGGGAGCCAAGATGGCTGAATAGGAACAGCTCTGGTCTACAGCTCCCAGCCTGAGCGATGCAGAAGACGGGTGATTTTTTGCATTTCCATCTGAGGTACCGGGTTCATCTCACTAGGGAGTGCCAGACAGTGGGCGCAGGTCAGTGGGTGCATGCACCCTGCGCGAGCCGAAGCAGGGCGAGGCACTGCCTCACACGGGAAGTGCCAAGGGGTCAGGGAGTTCACTTTCCTAGTCAAAGAAAGGGGTGACAGACGGCATCTGGAAAATCAGGTCACTCCCACCCGAATACTGCGCTTTTCCGATGGGCTTAAAAATCGGCGCACCAGGAGATTATATCCCGCACATGGCTCGGAGGGTCCTAAGCCCACGGAGTCTCGCTGATTGCTAGCACAGCAGTCTGAGATCAAACTGCAAGGCAGGCAGCAGTGAGGCTGGGGGAGGGGCGCCCGCCATTGCCCAGGCTTGCTTAGGTAAACAAAGCAGCCGGGAAGCTCCAACTGGGTGGAGCCCACCACAGCTCAAGGAGGCCTGCCTGCCTCTGTAGGCTCCACATCTGGGGGAAGGGCACAGATAAACAAGACAGCAGTACCCTCTGCAGACTTAAATGTCCCTGTCTGACAGCTTTGAAGAGAGCAGTGGTTCTCCCAGCAGGCAGCTGGAGATCTGAGAACGGGCAGACTGCCTCCTCAAGTGGGTCCCTGACCCGTGACCTCCGAGCAGCCTAACTGGGAGGCACCCCCCAGCAGGGGCAGACTGACACTTCACACGGCCAGGTACTCCAACAGACCTGCAGCTGTGGGTCCTGTCTGTTAGAAGGAAAACTAACAAACAGGACATCCACAACAAAAACCCATCTGTATATCACCATAATCAAAGACCAAAAGTAGATAAAACCACAAAGATGGGGAAAAAACAGAGCAGAAAAACTGGAAACTCTAAAAAGCAGAGTGCCTCTCCTCCTCCAAAGGAAGGCAGTTCCTCACCAGCAATGGAACAAACCTGGAGGGAGAATGACTTTGACGAGATGAGAGAAGAAGGCTTCAGATGATCAAATTACTCTGAGCTACAGGAGGAAATTCAAACCAAAGGCAAAGAAGTTGAAAACTTTGAAAAAAGTTTAGAAGAATGTATAACTAGAATAACAAATAGAGAGAAGTGCTTAAAGGAGCTGATGGAGCTGAAAACCAAGGCTCGAGAACTACGTGAAGAATGCAGAAGACTCGGAGCCAATGCGATCAACTGGAAGAAAGGGTATCAGCGATGGAAGATGAAGTGAATGAAATGAAACGAGAAGGGAAGTTTAGAGAAAAAAGAATAAAAAGAAATGAGCAAAGCGTCCAATAAATATGGGACTATGTGAAAAGACCAAATCTACGTCTGACTGGTGTACCTGAAAGTGATGGGGAGAATGGAACCAAGTTGGGAAACACTCTGAAGGATATTATCCAGGAGAACTTCCCCAATCTAGCAAGGCAGGCCAACATTCAGATTCAGGAAATACAGAGAACGCCACAAAGATACTCCTCAAGAAGAGCAACTCCAAGACACATAATTGTCAGATTCACCAAAGTTGAAATGAAGGAAAAAATGTTAAGGGCAGCCAGAGAGAAAGGTCAGGTTACCCACAAAGGGAAGCCCATCAGACTAACAGCGGATCTCTTGGCAGAAACTCTACAAGCCAGAAGAGAGTGGGGGCCAATATTCAACATTCTTAAAGAAAAGAATTTTCAACCCAGAATTTCATATCCAGCCAAACTAAGCTTCATAAGTGAAGGAGAAATAAAATCCTTTACAGACAAGCAAATGCTGAGAGATTTTGTCACCACCAGGCCCACCCTAAAAGAGCTCCTGAAGGAAGCGCTAAACATAGAAAGGAACAACCGATACCAGCTGCTGCAAAATCATGCCAAAATGTAAAGACCGTTGAGACTAGGAAGAAACTGCATGAACTAACGAGCAAAATAACCAGCTAACATCATAATGACAGGATCAAATTCACACATAACAATATTAACTTTAAATGTAAATGGACTAAATGCTCCAATTAAAAGACACAGACTGGCAAATTGGATAAGGAGTCAAGACCCATCAGTGTGCTGTATTCAGGAAACCCATCTCACGTGCAGAGACACACATAGGCTCAAAATAAAAGGATGGAGGAAGATCTACCAAGCAAATGGAAAACAAAAAAAGGCAGGGGTTGCAATCCTAGTCTCTGATAAAACAGACTTTAAACCAACAAAGATCAAAAGAGACAAAGAAGGCCATTACATAATGGTAAAGGGATCAATTCAACAAGAAGAGCTAACTATCCTAAATATATATGCATCCAATACAGGAGCACCCAGATTCATAAAGCAAGTACTGAGCGACCTACAAAGAGACTTAGACTCCCACACATTAATAATGGGAGACTTTAACACCCCACTGTCAACATTGGACAGATCAATGAGACAGAAAGTCAACAAGGATACCCAGGAATTGAACTCAGCTCTGCACCAAGCGGACCTAATAGACATCTACAGAACTCTCCACCCCAAATCAACAGAATATACATTTTTTTCAGCAGCACACCACACCTATTTCAAAATTGACCACATAGTTGGAAGTAAAGCTCTCCTCAGCAAATGTAAAAGAACAGAAATTATAACAAACTATCTCTCAGACCACAGTGCAATCAAACTAGAACTCAGGATTAAGAAACTCACTCAAAACCGCTCAACTACATGGAAACTGAACAACCTGCTCCTGAATGACTACTGGGTACATAATGAAATGAAGGCAGAAATAAAGATGTTCTTTGAAACCAACAAGAACAAAGACACAACATACCAGAATCTCTGGGACGCATTCAAAGCAGTGTGTAGAGGGAAATTTATAGCACTAAATGCCCACAAGAGAAAGCAGGAAAGATCCAAAACTGACACCCTAACATCACAATTAAAAGAACTAGAAAAGCAAGAGCAAACACATTCGAAAGCTAGCAGAAGGCAAGAAATAACTAAAATCAGAGCAGAAATGAAGGAAATGGAGACATACAAAACCCTTCAAAAAATTAATGAATCCATGAGCTGGTTTTTTGAAAGGATCAACAAAATTGATAGACTGCTAGCAAGACTAATAAAGAAAAAAAGAGAGAAGAATCAAATAGACACAATAAAAAATGATAAAGGGGATATCACCACCAATCCCACAGAAATACAAACTACCATCAGAGAATACTACAAACACCTCTACGCAAATAAACTAGAAAATCTAGAAGAAATGGATAAATTCCTCGACACATACACTCTCCCAAGACTAAACCAGGAAGAAGTTGAATCTCTGAATAGACCAATAACAGGAGCTGAAATTGTGGCAATAATCAATAGCTTAATAACCAAAAAGAGTCCAGGACCAGATGGATTCACAGCCAAATTCTACCAGAGGTACAAGGAGGAACTGGTACCATTCCTTCTGAAACTATTCCAATCAATAGAAAAAGAGGAAATCCTCCCTAACTCATTTTATGAGGCCAGCATCATCCTGATACCGAAGCCGGGCAGAAACACAACCAAAAAAGAGAATTGTAGAGCAATATCCTGGATGAACATTGATGCAAAAATCCTCAATAAAATACTGGCAAACTGAATCCAGCAGCACATCAAAAAGCTTATCTACCATGATCAAGTGGGCTTCATCCCTGGGATGCAAGGCTGGTTCAGTATATGCAAATCAATAAATGTAATCCAGCATATAAACAGAACCAAAGACAAAAACCACATGATTATCTCAATAGATGCAGAAAAGGCCTTTGACAAAATTGAACAGCCCTTCATGCTAAAAACTCTCAATAAATTCGGTATTGATGGGATGTATCTCAAAATAATAAGAGCTATCTGTGACAAACCCACAGCCAATATCATACTGAATGGGCAAAAACTGGAAGCATTCCCTTTGAAAACTGGCACAAGACAGGGATGCCCTCTCTCACCACTCCTATTCAACAGTGTTGGAAGTTCTGGCCAGGGCAATTAGGCAGGAGAAGGAAATAAAGGGTATTCAATTAGGAAAAGAGGAAGTCAAATTGTCCCTGTTTGCAGACGACATGATTGTATATCTAGAAAACCCCATTGTCTCAGCCCAAACTCTCCTTAAGCTGATAAGCAACTTCAGCAAAGTCTCAGGATACAAAATCAATGTACAAAAATCACAAGCATTCTTATACACCAACAAGAGACAAACAAAGAGCCAAATCATGAGTGAACTCCCATTCACAATTGCTTCAAAGAGAATAAAATACCTAGGAATCCACCTTACAAGGGACGTGAAGGACCTCTTCAAGGAGAACTACAAACCACTGCTCAAGGAAATAAAAGAGGATACAAACAAATGGAAGAACATTCCATGCTCATGGGTAGGAAGAATCAATATCGTGAAAATGGCCATACTGCCCAAGGTAATTTATAGATTCAATGCCATCCCCATCAAGCTACCAATGACTTTCTTCACAGAGTTGGAAAAAACTACTTGAAAGTTCATGTGGAACCAAAAAAGAGCCCGCATCACCAAGTCAATCCTAAGCCAAAAGAACAAAGCTGGAGGCATCACACTACCTGACTTCAAACTATATTACAAGGCTACAGTAACCAAAACAGCATGGTACTGGTACCAAAACAGAGACATAGATCAATGGAACATAACAGAGCCCTCAGAAATAACGCCGCATATCTACAACTATCTGATCTTTTACAAACCTTACAAAAACAAGCAATGGGGAAAGGATTCCCTATTTAATAAATGGTGCTGGGAAAACTGGCTAGCCATATGTAGAAAGCTGAAACTGGATCCCTACCTTACACCTTACACAAAAATCAATTCAAGATGGATTAAAGACTTAAACGTTAGACCCAAAACCATAAAAACCCTAGAAGAAAACCTAGGCATTACCATTCAGGACATAGGCATGGGCAAGGACTTCATGTCTAAAACACCAAAAGCAATGGCAACCAAAGACAAAATTGACAAACGGGATCGAATTAAACTAAAGAGCTTCTGCACAGCAAAAGAAACTACCATCAGAGTGAAGAGGAAACCTACAAAATGGGAGAAAATTTTTGCAACCTACTCATCTGACAAAGGGCTAATATCCAGAATCTACAATGAACTCAAACAAATTTACAAGACAAAAACAAACAACCCCATCAACAAGTGGGTGAAGGATATGAACAGACACTTCTCAAAAGAAGATATTTATGCAGCCAAAAGACACATGAAAAAATGCTCATCACTGGCCATCAGAGAAATGCAAATCAAAACCACAGTGAGATACCATCTCACACCAGTTAGAATGGCAATCATTAAAAAGTCAGGAAACAACAGGTGCTGGAGAGGATGTGGAGAAATAGGAACACTTTGACACTGTTGGTGGGACTGTAAACTAGTTCAACCATTGTGGAAGTCAGTGTGGCCATTCCTCAGGGATCTAGAACTAGAAATACCATTTGACCCAGCTGTCCCATTACTGGGTATATACCCAAAGGACTATAAATCATGCTGCTATAAAGACACATGCACACGTATGTTTATTGCAGCATTATTCACAATAGCAAAGACTTGGAACCAACCCAAATGTCCAACAATGGTAGACTGGATTAAGAAAATGTGGCACATATACACCATGTAATACTATGCATCCATAAAAAATGATGAGTTCATGTCCTTTGTAGGGACATGGATGAAATTGGAAATCATCATTCTCAGTAAACTATCGCAAGAACAAAAAACCAAACACTGCATATTCTCACTCATAGGTGGGAATTGAACAATGAGAATACATGGACACAGGAAGGGGAACAGGACACTCTGGGGACTGTTGTGGGGTGGGGGTAGTGGGGAGGGATAGCATTGGGACATATACCTAATGCTAGATAATGAGTTAGTGGGTGCAGCGCACCAGCATGGCACATGTATACATATGTAACTAACCTGCACATTGTGCACATGTACCCTAAAACTTAAAGTATAATAATAATAAATTTAAAAAAAAAAAGAAACTCTAGGCGTTTCTCATGATGACTAATTCCTATACTGTGGGTCTGTGAACCAGCTGTTTTTGTATGTAGGCAAAGACCTAGACACTGCTTTTATATTCCAAGAGAAACAAAACAACACGAAGAAACAAAGAAGTTACAGTATTTTAATGATGAAATATGCATTTTTAAATAATAGCTTGGGCCCAAAGTGGAACTGTTTAACTGTCACAGCCTAGCAGAAAATAATGGAAGCAGACGCAGTACATTTATAATGTCAACACATGGCTCAGTGACATCTCACTAAGATCTATATAAAAGTTTCAAAGGAGTTTAAAGAATGATGGAGTGAAATATGTTAGCATGAGGGTATTATTGTCTGTGTGTGTGTGTATAAAAAAAAACTATATATAGAGACCAAGTTAAAAATAACCCTGTAACATATTTATGTTAAAGATTTAATTTATTTTAGTGATAAAAATCAAACATCATATTTAAATAATTATGTTCATTTGAATATCAGAGGTTCTGAAATATAGTTTGTACAGATTTAAAGTAAGTTTGTACTTTATGGCTGGATATGTTATAATAATGGGGACTTTATACTTACTAATAGATTTTTGAATATTTAAGTCTTACAATAAAAATACTTTAATTCAACATTATGGATATGAAAAAGTATACATACAAAATATCCAGAGAAAAAGTGGGAAGGGAAGTTAAAAATTAATTTTCATTTAAAAATAGATAGAACATTCTGTCCTACATAAAAAAAAAAAAAATCATTCTTTCTGGGTGCAGTGGCTTACTCCTGTAATCCCAGCACTTTGGGAGGCCAAGGCAGGCGGATCATGAGGTCAGTAGATTGAGACCACCCTGGTCAACATGGTGAAACCCTGTCTCTACTAAAAAAAAAATACAAAAATTAGACGGGCATGGTGGCATGCACCTGTAATCCCAGCTACTTGGGAGGTTGAGGCAGGAGAATCGCTTGAACCGGGATGCGGAGGTTGCAGTGAGCCAAGATGGTACCACTGTACTCCATCCTGGGCAACAGAGCAAGACTCCATCTCAAAAAAAAAATTCTATATATATAAAAAAAATTGCTACTTAAGATACATGGTAGGGTAATTACTTTCCTTTATAATTTTAATTTATTTTATTAAATCAAAAGGGAAAGATAGATCTTTTACATTTGAAAATTTATTTGAAGTCAATTTGCATTCCCATCAAAAATTAGATTATGCTGTTTGTATTTCTGGCTGTAGTAAGAAGAGTGATTTATGCTATTTAAATGTAATTTTTAGTGAGAAATGAGATGTTTACCCCTAGAATTAGAAATGAGACAAGGATCATCCTTCTTACCTCTCCTTTCAATATCTTACTGGAAAAGTTCTGTATAATGTAATAAAATGAGACGAGCGAATAAAATATATACAGACTGGGAGCAAAGAAATGAAGCTATCTTTGCAGGTCACATGATTGTCTATGTAGAAAATCACAAAGAATAAAGAAAAAACAAAAACAAAATAATTCTCTTGGAAATAATAAGTGATCATAGCAAGGTTATAGGATACAAGATTAATATACAAAGGTCCATCACTTTCCTATATACCAGCAGTGAACAATGCAAGCTTTGAATTAAAAGCACAGCATTACTTACATTAGCATAAAGCACAAATGAAACATTTCACTCTGACAAAATTTATGCAAAATCTATACCAGTAAAACTACAAAATTTGATTAAAGCAATCCAAGATCATCTAAAACCAGAGATTTTCTGTTAATGGATAGGAAGTCTCAATATTACTAACATGTACTTTTTCCCAATGTGTTCTAGAAATTCAATGCAGTCCAAATGAAAATTCTAGCAAGTTATAAGGTTTATATGGAAATTGATTTTCCCAGAAAAGCAAACACAACACTGAAGAAAAACAAAGAGAGGACTTACACTACCTGCTTTAAGACTGACTAAGAAGATACAAGGATCAAGACAGTGTGGTATCAGTAAAAGAATAGACAAGTAGATCAATCGAATAGTATAGAAAGTCCAGAAATAGTAACATACACACAAATACTGTCAGCTAATCTTTGATGAAAGAGCAAACACAATTCAATAGAAAAAAAACAGACTGCCACAAGCGATGCTAGAAAAACTGGCATGCACGTGTAAAACAATAATAGCTAAACAACCACCAATCAAACCTATACACAGATCTTACAACTTTCACAAAAATTAACTCAGATTCAATCATACAATTAAATGTAAAATGCAAAACTATAAAACTTCTAAAAGATAGCATAGAAGAAAACCTAGGTGACTGTGAGCAATGTCTTTTTAGATAGAACACCAAAAGTACTAGCCAAGAAAGTGAACAAATAAGTTGGGCATTGTTAAAATTAAAAAAAAATTGATCTGTGAAAGACATGTTTATTGTTAGAATAAAATGCCAACCAACAGTCAGGGAGAAAATATTTGCAATTCATACCTGATGATATACCTATATTAGTCTGTTCTCATTATTACTATAAAAAACTACCTGAGTGAGATTGGGTATTTATAAAGAAAGGAGATTTAATCGACTCACAGTTCTGTAGACTGTAAAGGAATCATGGCTGGGGAGGCCTTAGGAAACTTACAATCTTGGCGGAAGGCAAAGGGGAAGCAGGCATGTCTTATTTAGTTGGAAAAGCAATCAGATCTCATGAGAACTCACTATCATTAAAACAGCAAGTGGGAAATTCACCTCCATGATCCAATCACATCCCATTAGGCCCTTCCTTCAACACTGGCGATTCCAATTTGAAATGGGATTTGAGTGGTGACACAAATTCAAACCATATTAGTAGCATTATACAAAACATACAAAAAAAAAACCCTTAAAACTCAACTGTATGAAAACAAACAATTTTAAGAAGACAGACAAAAAAAAATCAGAAAATACATCTAACCAAAGAAGATACAAATAACAAATAAGCATTTGAAAGATGCTCAAAATTATATTTCGTAAAGGAATTTAAAGTTACAGCAACAATGAAATTCCATTACAAAGCTAACAGAATGACTAAAATCCAGAACACTGACAATACTAAATTCCAGTGAGAATGCGAAAGAACAGGAATAGTTTTTTATTGCTGATGGAAATGCCAAACAGTACAGCCACTATGGAAGACAGGTAAGCAACTTCTTTCAAAACTAAACCAAGGCTTGCTATACAATCCAGCAATTACACTCCTAGATATATATGCTGAGTTGAAAACTAATGTCCACACAATACCTTGCCCATAAATGTTTACAGAATATTTATTCAGAGCCACCAGAAATTAGATGCAGTCAAGATCCCTTCCAATGGTGAATGAATAAACAAAGTGTGGTACTTCCACACAATGAAAATATATTTTAGTGATAAAAAGAAATGGGCTATGAAGCTGTAAAAAGACATAGAGGAACTTCAAATACATATTGCTGAGCAAAAGAAGCCAATCTGAAAGACTCTAAATTGTATGATTCCAACTATATAACATTCTGCAAAATACTGCACTCTGAAGACCTAGAAAGATCAGTGTTTGAGAGGAGTTTACATATGATAGGAAAGGATGAATAAATGTACCACAGGGCATTATTAGGGCAGTGAAAATATGCTACTGTAAAGGTGGATTATTGACTTTATGCATTTGTGAAATTTCATAGAACTATACAACACAAAGGGTGTAACCTAATGTAAACCATGATGTATCAATATGGGTTCATCACTTGTAATTTGGTCATCAAATCTACCACACTGATGCAGGATATTAATATGAAGCAAATTGGCAGTGTAGGAGAGGGGAGAGTATATGGAAACTCTGTACTTTCTGTAAAATGATTTTGTAGCTTAAAACTGCTCTAAAAATAGTGTATTCAAAATTATTTTTGGCAAAACTGGAAACAACCAGGCTTTTCTTCAAGAGTATAGCAGATAAACACATCAAGTTATATCCATTCAATAGAATACTTTTCTGTAATTACATGAAATATGCTCCTTATTCATATATCAACATGGATGAATATGAAATACATTTTTATAGGTGAAAAAAGCCTGACCCAAAGACTACATGTTGTATTCCATTCATACAACATTTTGGGAAGATAAAACTATATGAATGGAATTCAGTGGTTTTCAGATATTGGATAACGGTATTGACTACAAAAGTGATGCACGGGGAACTTAGAGGGTGACAGAAATATTCTATATAGTATTAGACTAATGGATACACGCTTCTAAGAATTGGTCAAAACCTATAGTTTACAGATTGAAAAAAAAAAACAAGCAGGATGCCAGAGATCTCAAGATGGAATGCAACTGTGACAAATTAATTAAACTATATTTTTATTGTACGAAATAACCTCTCTGAAGGGGATGGGGATAACAAAGGAACTGACCTAGGTAACTTTGGAAAATAATGTTTTGATTGTAAATGCTAGTCCAAAGACAAAATGTACTATATAAACACCATACTATGATTATATTTATTATTTGGCAGAAGAGAATATGAGTTAACAATTGTGAACCTTCTTTACACTTAAAGTGGGGTTGAACAAATAAGTAAATGAATGAAGGATGGTAGGAACCAGGTGTCTTATTGTAATAGACAGAAGCTACAGATATGCAAGAAGATAAGTCTAGGATAAACCCTTTTGTCCTGAATTTGAGTCACAGAAATAAAAAAGGCATATTCTCAACTTAAAATATATATAGATACAGATTTATTGACAAACAGATACGGAAATAATATGAAGTTAAGATGTGAGGATACAGCATGTATTTCCTAGATTTGTCTGCTGAGGAAGCAGTGACCTTACTAGCAAAGAATGCACCTAGCACTTAGATCTTGGTTTCTAAATACCATTCTCCAATTAGAGGAGCCAGAGCTCCTCAGAGGAATTGCTGTTTCCTAGGTTTAGGACAGAGGAAATAAAGTAAAGATGTGCTCAAACAATAGAATGACAGCATATCAAAGGGAAACACAAGTTAAGCTAAAAGAGCTCCTGATGACCAGACCTGGAACAATAAATTAAGCAACAAAATAAATAGCGTGGCACTGGATTACAACTCAAGATATAAAATAAATGTGCATGAGACTATACTGATATAAATAAAAGTTGGAATATAAACACTTTGGATTACAAAAAAATTACTGAAAATATTTGTTGTTATTGTTTAAAGAGCAGATACATATGAAGGTAGGAACAGCAAAAGAACTAAACTAAGAAAACATACTGACTTTCAAAATTATGAATAACACTGAGTACTGTATGGGGCAATGGACTGCTGAAATTCATTTTAATTTTGCTCACACTTTGACATGTTAATGCTTGTTTTCACTTCTGATTTAAGTTCTTCTTTACAAAATGGTTCAGATTCACTGGCAGGGTGTGAAAGACTCCACCAATGGTCAGTTTCAAGGATGAGACACATACTGCAATGTCATGTCGGATACAATTCTGTGTTCTCTGAACTAGGTTTCCAGAGTAAATTTTTTTGTTTTTTCATTTTTTGTTCTTGTTGTTCCTCACCCTATCGTCATTTAAAGGCAGGCCAAAGTTTCCATTCACCATTATTCCCAAGATTATTCGCAGTTAAAAAAATAAAGAATTGCCTATACTGGGTGAGTCAACCATAATTCTGGTTAGAAATATACATGTTGAATTTCTGCCTTGACACCAATCCAACAGGAGTGATAAACTCATGCATCAAAGGTTTGCTTTTAATAGTTCAAGGAAATTAATTATATGTAGCAATATATACTTCGTTATAACATACCCTCTATTTTTCTGTAATACTTATTTCTCTTCATCTATTTTTTGTTTACTCTCAGGATAAAGTATAATGAGTTCTAAGTAAATGCATCTGTGTAACTGGGAATGAATATATTAAAAACAAAATATCTAATCAAAACTAGTCTATATGTTCATGAGTTTCAAGTCTTGACTAAGATATACCAAAAATCTGGCACATGCTTGAAAGCATTCCTTTCAAATTAAAAAATGAAAATATAATCCAAATATTTTAACACATTTTACTACCTTCATTTTGTTGAATGTTGAAATCAGAGATCCACACAAGCAGAGAAGCAGCCTAGATTTCATATTAAGAATTAAATTTCTAAATTAAATAATACAATGCTAAAGCTGTGGGTCTATGTGCGCAGTCTTTCTTGCATGTTTGCCAAATAAAGTTGGCAGTGTTCTATGGTTGATTTTTGTATTTGCAAGGGAAGTAGCACATTTTACATGCAGATGTTGAAGATTTTTTTTGGTGATTTGCAATATTTTGTGAACAAGCACCTAACAGAGCACTGCGCAAAAGTATATACAATGGATTATTTAATAATGTTATTGAGTTAAAAGTATCACATAGTGCAATGTGGTCTTTTCTGATATAAAGCCTTTGCCCCCGTGCATGGCACAGTGAAATTGCCATAGCTCGGCTGGGCGCGGTGGCTCATACCTGTAATCCCAGCACTTTGGGAGGCCGAGGCAGGCGGATCACGGGGTCAGGAAATCGAGACCATCCTGGGTAACACGGTGAAACCCCGTCTGTACTAAAAAAAAAATACAAAAAATTAGCCGGGCACGGTGGCAGGCGCCTGTAGTACCAGCTACTCCAGAGGCTGAGGCAGGAAAATGGTGTGAACCCGAGAGGCGGAGCTTGCAGTGAGCCAAGATCGCACCACTGCACTCCAGCCTGGGTGACAGAGGGAGACTCCCTCTCAAAAAAAAAAAAAAAAGAAAAAGAAAGTGCCATAGTTGTACATACAGCATTATAATTAAGACTGAAAATGAAGAAGAGGGTTTGGTGAAGACTTAGCAGTTATTATTCTCCATCTAATAGCTTTACCATGTTGCTGGTGGGTTGATCATGTTTTTTTAGTTTAAACAATTGCATATTTTAGTCGAATATGAAATGTTCAAGCATTAGAAATAAATGTTCAAACATTAGAAATAAATGTTCAAACAAAGCCAAGTCAAAATTTAAAATTCAACATCAAATAATGAATTTCTAATATACAAAAATAAAACATTTTTACTCAAAAATTATATTAGATCTTTTTATTAAAAACTAGATTAAAATTTATCTTTTGAAATTTTATGTATAATTTTGAATTTCTGATCATTTTGGAATTTGAGAACACAAAATTAATATTCTACTTTTTATTTATTAAATGATCTTTTCTTTAAAAACTCAGGGTCTAATATCACTGTATGTCCAATAATTCAAGGTTATTTTAAGTGATAATTGGCATGTTATTACCCCAAACAGTTCTAATCTATTATTCTGCTTTTCCTTATTACATAAATGATTATCATTAATTAAGCTAAAATGAGAACGTTCTCTTCCTAAATTTATTTAGACATTGTGCTGTTCTTAATAGTTGTCTAGTGGTCAATTTTTTTACTCTATATATAATTACTTGTAAATTGCTCACATTTTTTGAATGTTAAATTCATTGGTTTCATAATTTTAATTATGGCTGCAATAATAAACCTTTATTCTTCAATTGACCAATTAATTATTCATAGATAATTCACATAGTTTACAAGTTATATCTAGAATTCTCATCTATATTCTGATAATGAATATATACATATATATTTTCTCATCTATATTCTGGTAATGAATATAGCTATTTAAAATGATTTAAATGATAGTTTTTGTTCATAATAACTGACATTGTTATTTAAGTTAAATTAGATATAAGCTATGTAATCCCTGATGGATGCAAAATCAAGATTGAAATAGAGGCACAATCCAAATCGAGTAGAAAATAAAATGTGTTCAACCATAAAGATTAAAGTCAATACTTTCATTTTATGTTGACATTAATTTACGTACCATTCAACCTCTGTAACTTTTGCATTTACAAAATGACTTTTTCTATTGCTCTTAGAAATTAAGAGCAATAGAAACTACAGTCCGAGAAAAATTAGCTAACAATAAAGTTTAATAAAACATCCATTTCTACTCCGCAGTTTACACATACACATAAGCACATTCACAAATATGTAAAGATTTAATAACAATACTAATAACAAAAACAATGTTAAATACTATAATATCTTAACTGCCAGTCTAAGACTGATCCAAAATGAGATGCTGAACATTCTTCCACTGGCTGTAATGAAGAAGATAGTATCAGACTAAACTGCCTACTGATAAGAATAAGAAATGCTGGGTAAATCAAACAAAACAGCGGTGTAGAAGAATCAGAAAGCCACAGACAGGACGTGAGGAATTAAGCTCCTCGAACAAAGGAAAACATTGGAATATGAGTCCTATAATTCTGATTGCAGGGGTATAGTGGGTAGCCGTGGAGTATAATTTATAACAGATTCACTTGCCACAGGAGATAAAATGTTGTTTTCAGAGCTACTAAATAAGTGACGAATTAGGGGTTAATATTAAGGAAAGTGGAACTGCAAAGAATGAAGCCCAATAACCTCTGTGCAATCTTTTATGAAGAAAATAGCTGATTCATGAGTTTCAAATGCATGGAGTGAGAGGTGGAAATTTCCAAGCATAAAGCAGTTCCTAGAAGACTGAAAGCCCAAGCAAAGATTTTGGCAGTTTGAAAGTTATAGTACAGGCAAAAATTAGACATCAGCATTCAACCAAGAGAACAGACTTAGTAAATAACCCCTGCACTAAGTGGAAATGCGTGAAGGTCAACCTCTAGGAGAAAGAAGGAAAAAAGAAATAAGTATTTTATCACAAGGACTGAAAATTAAGTCTTGAATCAGCTGAATGTCTGGTGGGGTCAAGGAAATTTGCATATACTATTACTCTTTCAGAAAAATATTAAATTTTCTCTGAGCAAAATTCATATAATTCAGACACTGGCAATTGTCTGGCAATCAATCTCAAAATTACAGGTTCACCAAGACATAGGAACAACTGAGAGAAAACCAGAGAAAAAAATATATAAATAAAACAGACTAAAAATCATTCCTCAAAATGGAAACATCAGCTATAAACTTCAAAATAATTGCTGCTGACAAGACCAATAGGTGCTAAAATTACTGGACAAAAAGTATCATGGAAAAGAAGATACTTATGTTCTTTCAAAATATCCCTTTACATCTCAAATTATCAAACACTAATTACAAAGAGACAACATAACTTCATGGTGGAGAAACTCGACAAGCACCACCCCAAAGTTAGTATTACCAGAAATAAGATATTAGGATGACATCATACAACACCTGACATGATTCACTGAGAAAGGCACAATAGGGCTTCTGTGGTAATCTTGCCCCCAAAAAAGAAAAAAAACATCAATTTCATTATGAGAAAACATCACACAAAACCCAGTTTACGGGGAAAATGGCTGATGGCTGGCTGATGCTATTCAAAAGTGCCAAAGTCTTGAAACAGCAGGAAAAATCAGTAGATTAATTAGTAGTATTTTTTTCAATGTAACCTTTCTTCTTCTTATTATTTTTGTTTGTTTGTTTATTTGAATCAGGTTCTTGCTCTTTCATATAGACTAAAGTGTAGTGTGATCATGGCTCAAGCAGCCTCTAGCTCCCAGGCCAAAGTGACCCTTCCACCTCAGCCTCCTGAGTATCTGGGACTGCAGGCTTGTGCCACCATGTCTGGCTAACATTTTATTTTTTGTCAGTGGGGTTCTCACTATGTTGCCCAGGCTGACCTTCCTTCTTTCAGTAACCTTATGCGGTTATGGAAGATGTTAACATTAAAAAAGCTGAATAAAGAATACTTTCCCTATACTTTTTGCAACTTTTCTGAGGTTCCAAACTGTTTCAAAATAAAAAGTTTAAAACTGCTGTGAGAACATATTAATAAATTACAATACTTTCTTGAATAGTATCTTTTTTATGGAGACAAGGTTATTTTAATCTAATGTATACAAAGTGACTTAAGATATATGTATTAAAGATAAAATAAATTCAGTACTATATACCTACAATAAAATTAGTTTTCTGAGGGCAAAGTTTTTGTCAGGCTGGGTGTGGTGTTTCATGCCTGTGGTCCCAGCACTTTGGGAGGCTGAAGTGGGAGGACTGCTTGAGCCTGGGAGGTGGAGGCTATAGTGAGCCTAGATCACTCCACTGCACTCCAGCCTGGGCAACAGAACCTGTCTCAAAAAAAAAAAAAATTGTCAGGTTTGTTCATCATTGAATCTATGGAAAGCACAATACTTTTCGTACATTCAGTATAATACTTTCCATACATTAGGCCTTAAATAAAAACTTGCCAATTAACTGACTAAATAAATGAGTGTCTTTCCCCAAGGCAAAATAATTACAACATTCCTTTGGAAATTTTGCAAGCCTTCTAAAGGATAAGGCAGTGTTGCCTTCTTCTCTCCCCTTCGTGGGCACACACTCCATTACTCTCATGCTTAGGTAAGGAGAATTCTTAGGGATACAGCTGATTTGTTTTCTTATTTTGAGAAATAATGCATTTATGTGATGGAATGATCCTTTCCAAAATGGACCACAGAATTTTAGGAAAGTTACAAAAAACAGTGTTCACCTCTCATTTTTTAAATAGTAGCTGCTGAATTAAAGATTAACAACAACAAAAATGAACAAATGTGTATTGAGAATATAATGAAATCTAGTTGTATGATGAGAGAGGAAATTGAGGAAAAGCAAGAAGTAATAATAAGTTTTTACTAAAGACTGAGGCTGATCTTCTGTGTTCCAAATATTAGTTATACAGCCAATACAAACATGGGGACTCGATTACTTCAACGGGGAGAGAACGTAAGTCGCTGCAAATGGGAAATACAAATATACTTGGTGAGGATGAAATGTTAGTGGAAAAAACTGGAAAGGAAGGAGGAAAAGCGCATAGGTTGGAGAATTTTAGAAGTACATATTTAATGGTTCCCTGAAGTCTGCAGGTGTTCCCTCTTCCCCCAGATAGTCGATGAGACCTCTCACCCGTTATAATTAGAAAAAGCAAAGAAGTTGGACTAAAGGAACAATTTCAGATTTCCACAACACTTACATACACACAAACACACACACACACATGCACACACAGACCACACATTATTTTTCAGTTTTGAAACATTTATTCCTGCAGTAAAATTTTTTTAAACTTCATTTTGGTCATGATTTGATGTATATTCACTTTAAGAAAAGGTTGGTGTCCCCCCCTTCATTTTAGCTGAGGGCATCTTTCTGTATTAGCCCATATATATGTGTGCCATATTATTTATAATAGCCACATCTTTCTATATTGTTTGACTCTAATATTATTTATTTAATAAGGAACCTGAAATCTTATGAGAAACTGAAATATTATGAGACCAATCCTGATAAATTGTTGGAAGCTATCTTTCTGTGGAGTCTGTTCACCTGTAACACGTTTCTATAATAAAAATTAGTTCACAAGCAACTAATACATAGAATGATATCAGTATAATGTAATTATGAACTTCAACAGAGGAAGGCAAATTTATTCATCAACTTAGCTGCTGCACTGGCATCAGTGAACATGTTAGTTCAATTTTGAGAAAAATAAGAGCAACCACCTGTACTAGGATTTTCTCCCCAGAAAGGTGCACTGTGAGTGTGGAGTGGTTATCTGTTCCTTCCAGGTTGCCTTGAATCCCACAGAGAAGACCTGGGTGGTAGTGGGTGCAGATAGCAACAGAGATTTAACACAGCTTCTGGTTTACGTTCTTACTGTTCATTAAATCCTCTGGTTTAAAAATTGCATAGATTTTGCATGGATGCCTCCATTTTCCCATTAATTTTACTTATTATTTCTCATTATTTGTACTTATTAATCTCAGTATCTGATTTTATAAAGCACGAGCTTTTCCAAGAATGCATATTATTTCCAAAGAGAAACTCCTCATGTACCATATTCTATTAAATATTGTAAGTGTGTCAAATAGCAAATGAACACAAACTTTTTCCCAATGTAAAATATTACTTTTACAGATTTGAAACTCTTAGCCTCTATTTGGTAATTGAGTCTGAACTATTCTGAATTAAAGGTGTCTTTTCACTTACAAGGTGATATTCCTTACCATCCCAATAAACAAAGATTCAAATCTATTAATAGTGAAACATCCAGTTCATTGTGATTACCTCCAACATTTTTCTCTTACTCTGATTATTGCTTTTTAAAGGTTTCTGTCTTAGTACTTAATACTTCAGTAGTACTAAAACAACTCTATCTTGTGGGGGAGCATTTGTATCCAGAGTCTCAGAGAAAGTCTAGGATCCTTTGCCCTCTTCTTACTTTTTTCTCCATCAGCAAACATTATTTTAGGATAGAAAAAAATAAAATCTCCATTTAAATAGTCCATAGATCTTTCAATGTCAGTATATCCACATTGAAACTCATAGTCTTTGTCCCGAAACATGATTCTTTTCCATTTATTTATTTGATCATTAGCAATTAACTCATCCAATAAATACCTGTGGAGTCTTTGTCATGTTGTCAATATTGCACTGGGTGCTGTTGAGAAACAGTTTGCTAAGCATTGTTTCCTATGCCTTCACAAATTTGCAGTCTGGTAGAAGATGCCTCCTCTGAGGAATCTGACATTTGAGCTGAGACTTGAAGGATGAGTAAATATTAACTAGGTGAAGGCAGGAGCAGAAGAGAATTAACTCCTGGCATCCTGCCAAGCAGGAGCTGAGGCAGAACCAATTACAGTATGCCAGAAGAAATGAAAGGTGGCTAGTGTCTCTGGAGTGCCAGGTGTAAGGGAAAGAGTGCCACTGGGCAATCATGGAGACATGAACACAGATGCCCAGAACCTTAGTAGGGATCAGTAGGCCATATCAGTGAAGTTTAATTTCATAATTAACTGTTACTGTATGCTTGTGAAGAGTCAATTATGTAAATTTTTTCACATTGTTTTTAATCCATATATGTGCCAACACTCTGAGAGACATACAATTATTATCACCATTTATACAGCCAGAAACCAAGGGAGGTTAGGTATTTTAGACTGATTTTAGACTGCATATATTCTAATTAAGAAAGCTCAATTTGAAAGTACAGGGAATCCAAATTAGAGTACTTTTTTTTTTTTTTTGAGACAGAGTCAAGCTCTGTTGCTCAGGCTGGAGTGCAGTGGCGTGACCTCAGCTCACTGCAACCTCTGCCTCTGGGGTCCAAGAAATTATCCTGCCTCAGCCTCCTGAGTAGCTGGGATTACAGGCACATGCCACCATGCCTGGCTAATTTTTGTATTTTTAGTAGTGATGGGGTTTCACCATATTGGTCAGGCTGGTCTCAAACTCCTGACCTCATTATCCACCTGCCTCAGAATCCCAAAGTGCTGGAATTACAGGCGTGAGCCACCGTGCCTGGCCAGAACACTTATTCTTTTAGCCACTAGCATCCATCTTCATTGTCTTGGCAATGGAAACCCATGATAGAATTTTAGGCAGAGGAGTAGGAGTAATCCTCATACCCTGTTCCCCTCTGTCAGTTTACCAGCACCTTTATACTTAACAGCGGCATCTCCTCCTCCTTACTCAGAATCTTAGTGGCTTTAACTACAAAACATAGCTCTAATTCACCATCTTGGGCTAAATCCATGGAAACTATAGTTGGCTTTGTGTCTGACCTATTATGTGTTTCTAATGCCTTCCATTACAACCAATATATCCAATATTATTGTCCTAGTCTAAACTCTTCTCCATCAGCAGTGCGAATCATCTCCTTCAGTAGCAAGGCCGATTAGGTCAAATCATACTTAAACACCGTAAGCTCCTTTCCATTGCACGTAGAATAAAATCTTCATCCTTCACTCTGTTAGAATCTCTGTAGGATCCGTTCATTGACTCTGACTTCAGCCCAATTTTCTGCCAATCTCCCTTTCACTCATTAAGCTCCAGAGATATCAGCCTTGTCTCCATTTTTCAAACATCAAGCATGTTCCCAATTTATCGTCATAGACCATGCTCTGTCTTTACTAAAATGCTACCTCTCCGTGCCCACCACATTTTCCTACTGGCACTCATTCATCTATCAGGTCTCAACACACAATTATTTCCCCAAGGACATATTGTGTTATATTCTGGGCTAGGTTAAGATTTACTTTTTCTTACAAATTTCTGTTTTGTTTTGTCCGTTGTATCCTCACAAACTAATTACTTAAACACAATTTTTACTAAATGGTTTTTGTATAATTAATTATCCAATGACTGGCTTCCTTTGCATTTGTTTCTTGTCAAGTTTCCATGAGAACAGGGGTTACATATCAGTTTTGATAACTATTTTATCAGCATTGTATAGCACACTCGTGGACACCAAGATCCATATTTGCAAACTAGACATGGTTATTAATTCTATCCTGTATTTGGCAATAATAGGAGATTGAGCTTCAAATGTGAATTCTATAAATTCTGTGCAACACTTGCCTCACTGTGCGAGAAAGCTATGTGTTCTATCTAAAAGTAAAAACAGTTTAAATGTCAGAATAAAACTACCAAGTTTTCACACATGAACTCTCTGCCCTACTTGTATTTGCAGTTAAATGTTGAAAACTGGTTACAAACTATGAAAATCATATTAGTATAGCTGGATGGACTGAATAGGAGAAAGTGCTTCAGACTATCAATTGCTATGTCTGCTATTAATGATTATTTTTTTTAAATCTTCCAAATGTAATTAAAATCATATTGTATAACAGAAGGCCCATGACCCAAAGGAAAATAAAGTGGTGACATGGACTATTTACAGATGATGTTACAATGCGGTAAGAAATATCATATAAATTAAGAACAATAAATATCTAGTTTTCCAAAAGTTAAAGTTTTAAAGAGCTAATGTTTTCTTAGGTCTGAAAAATATGTATGCATGAGAAACAGGAAGGTTTGCTCTTGAAATTATTATTCCTCCCCTCATTTATTGCCTGTTCTAAAATGGCACCAGGTCAAAACAATGAGACACTTTGCTGATAGTATCGCTATAAATACATAGATTTATTGATGGAATTATGACACTGCAGAAGCTTTTCAATTAGTATTAGAGTCATTAACTAGGCAGGAAATATATGGATAGTGGCACTTTTTTCAATTATACTTATAAACATGTATTACTGCACATAAGAAGAAGTAATAGAAACACTTGTATATAACAGTGTTTAAATGAAATACCAATAAAATGCTGTTTTTTTTTCTCTCAAACAATGTAGCTGATAGCACTTTGCTACTCCCACAACTTTAAATCTTGAGGATTGGATCTGTTCCCTGAGTGTTCTTGGCTTCCTGCAAGTCATTGAGTTTAGTGGTATTAACAAAGTCATGTAAAATTCTTTGTGCCAGCTTTTCATAGCTTGTTATTTCATATTATTCAAATATCTGCTCAAATATCAGTTCATCAAAGAAACTTCCTCTTACTAGCCTAGCCTACCAAAAATGTCCACAACTTTATGAATACTACTTACTCACTGTTCCGCTGTTTGAACTCTTAGGGGTAAACGTATCCAGGTTTGTGGAATTTAGCAACTCTTACCTTTGACACATTGTGAGGTAAGCGTTACACAGAATTCAAATTACTTGCTTTCATTATAGCATGCTAACTATAATGGGGTGACTCAATAGCCCACATATATTGCTTATTAACAACTGGTAATAAAAGAAATCTCAGTAAAATCAGCAGAGTGTTTTTTCATATACAAAGAATATAATAATAGTGGTAATAATAAAGATATATAAACAGACACAATAAAACGAAAAACTAAAACCAAATGTCCCCAGACCTTGGCAAATAAAACCGTAAATACAGGCAGAGTGTAAAGATCCAAAAGGTATTCCAATAAATTAGGCAATGCTGGGCTACCACAACTCATAGACTCAAGTACATAGTGGTTCAACATAATAGAAGAGTAGATCATCTAACAGTCCAGGGTAATTGGTGAGGGGATGAGAGCATATTTTCCACAGTCATTCAGGGACCCATGCTGAGGACCACTGTGCCATCTTCAATTGTAAGGCTAGTCCAGACCACCAGGTGATTATTCTGTTGCCAGAATCAACCAGAGGAGGAAAAGGACAGGCCTAGAAGAAGCATGCATTATTTTTGTTCTCCTTCCATTGACCTGAATTCAGTCATATTATCACAGCTAAATGTAAAGAATTCTAACAAATTTGGCTCAGTTGTCTTCCCAGGGAAAAGAAACAGAGATTTTTATGGTCAATGAGCAGACTCTGCCACAGTAGCACAGATTGTTGGTATGTTGGTGATAGTTTGTACAAAATCTTCCGTAACTCAGAATATGTTCTGCAAAACTCCATATTCTCTAAAATTAGTAGGATGAATACCTATTCCAGGTTGTTTGAGGTAGTACTAAACATGCTTTCCCCAGAAACTATCCAGTTATTATCCCCTTTCCCTTTAAAAAATGCTCAGGTTAATTTTGTGAATTACATGGGCAAACTTACTTATGAGAAAATAATAGAATTAGCACAGCCCACTCAAAATCTCGGCCCTGATAAACAAGAACAGTCATTAAAAAAAAAAAAATGCCAGCACAGTTACATTTCCACTAACATTAGTAGCCAGCATTATAATCAGTCTATCCATTGAAGCCTTAGTCCTTGGGTCTCATGTTTCTCTTTTAGTTAATATTTGGCTTCACGTAATCTGATATACACTCTTTCTGTGTGGTTATTTAATAATTCAAAACTAAAATTAAAAATTTACCCTCAAGCTATGATTATCAAAATACTTTAGCTATACTTACTGCCATCTATACCAAGGATTTATTAAATAGTATAACGGACATTTGTAAATATTTTTCACTTCTAGGATGAGTAATAAGTTAGATGTGAATCAGTAAAAGTATTGGGAAGTCACTTCCATGATTATGCAAAGTAGAGAAAACAAAGGATCCCAGGTAAATAGGTCCTCATGCCTGTAATTCCTATGGGTTATGCGCTGACACTGATTAGAAGGTTCATCAAATTTTGCTGCTAGAGTATTGTTACTTGTGACTCATATCAACCTTCAAGATTTGGGGAAGACACAACACTTGGAATTCATTGAGCCTCTATAATCGTTTTATAATTTTTTTTTTGCCTAAATGACAATAACATTTCCCAGGACAGCAGAATTTATTCTGAGAGTTGTTTTCATTATAACATATCATCTGACAGTAGGGAGACTGATAACGCTTGCACATGTCCTACAACTGAAGAATTACTACAAAAAGACATCTAATGATTGTGGATGACCATACTTACATCAGTTTCCAATAGAAAGTTCATCAGTATCGGGCCAGGCATGGTGGCTCACGCCTGTAATCCCAGCACTTTGGGAGGCAGAGGTGGGTGGATCACCTGAGGACAGAAGTTCAAGACCAGCCTGCTCAACATGGTGAAACCTCGTCTCTAATAAATGTATAAAAATTAGCCAGGCGTGGTGGCAGGCACCTGTAGTCCCAGCTACTCAGGAGGCTGAGGCAGGGGAATGGCGTGAACCCGGGAGGTGGAGCTTGCAGTGAGCCGAGATCAGGCCACTGCACTCCAGCCTGGGCAACAGAGGGAGACTCTGTCTCAAAAAAAAGAGAAAGTTTGTCAGTATCTTGTTTTGACAAAATTTATAGTGTAAGTTTGGCAGTAAGTGGCTGAGCCCATTTGAGAGAAAAAGCATTTTTTTTTAACCTTGATGTTGAACTTCTCAAGGATGCTGTCAGCAAATGGTCAGTCAACAAATAAAGTACGTCAGACACAAAAACCTTTAATGTATGAGTACATACTAGAAAGAGAAAGGTAATTGTGTAAGTGAAAATATAAATATTAAGGTGGTGGAGGTTTTGTTTGTTTTCTCCATGAAAGCTGCGCTTAATTGAAAGAAAAGTAGAAGAAATTTAAAAGATACAAATCCTATCACCTAACCCTATGAATGGTGGAGTATAAGAAAATTAAGAGGTATCATAAAAGAACACCTTTTGAGGCTAGGGCACAAAATGTGTATATTTCAAAGGGATTTTGCTGCAATAAGTGAATATGCTGAGCACAGTGTTGTATCTTGTGGCACACAGTGGTATTTAACGGTGAGTGTGTGGAAAAGAGATGAGATCTGGGTCACAGCCAAGGGAACATAAAGTAATAGTAAGTAAAGTGCAGCACAGCCATGATAGAAAGTAGTATGCATTCAATTGACTATATGCATGATTATAGGTGTTATCTAGGCACTGTGTTTAAAATGATAATTTAAAATGTTTGTTTTAAATTGCAGTACAAGAGGAATATGTAATACTTCAATATATCGTCAAGGTAATTATTGCGTAAAATAATGATAGTAAAATGGATTTATTTAACATATGAATTAAATAAGATAATAGTGAGGCAGTAAAATAGGTTCTGGGGGCAGGGGACATGAGGCCAATTCACACTTCAGCGGTAACAGGAAATATCCTCTCCATAGGGCATACACCGTAAATAACTTTGTAAATTTACTTCATCCTCTCCATTTGCATAGGGTGTACCAGAAGTAACCAATGGAATCCTCTAGGAGGTATTAAAACTCCCAAAAATTCTGTAACGGGACTTTGAACCCATATGTTCAGGCCCACTCGCACATTGTGGAGTGTACTTTCATTTTCAATAAAACTCTTCATTCCTTCCTCACTTTGTTTGTGCGTTTTGTCCAAGTCTTTGTTCAAGACGCCAAGAACCTGGACACCCTTCATTATTAACAATAGTACAAGATGAAAGCTATATTTAACTGATCTTAAAGGAGGTATTCCAATGAATCAAGTTAGGGCAACACTCGAGTCAGAACAAATATCCAGGGTATTCTTTTGGTGAATGATTAATAAGTGTAGTTTGGATGTATTTAAGCTGAAGGATCTTGTTGAGGATGGTGGGTAATGAATTTAGCAAAATAAGTGTGACTTATTTGCCTGACAGTGGTTTTCACAATAAGTTTTGGGCAGAATGTGGAAATGAATTTTTCCTTCAGCAATATCAAAATGGTATATTTCCAGGTATTTATAATCTTCTTTAGGGGCAGGAGTGGAACACTTTTACTCCTGTAGACTCCATGCTCTTCTTCTTTTTTAAATATTTATTTAATTTTAAAAATAATTGACACAATAATTGCACATATTTATCAGGTACAATGTGATATTTCAATGCATGTATATATTATATAATGGTTAAATTAGGGTGATCACCATATCCATCACTTTTAAAATGTATCTTTCTTTGTAATGACAACATTCAAAATCTTTACTAAACCAATTTTATTTTGCTTGTGTAGACACAACGTGAAAATGATACATTATCTCTTTTTATGTGTTTCTGTACTCAACTTGCTAGTATTTTTTTTAGATTTCTAGAATCTATATTTGTGAATGAGATTAACCTGTGATTTTCTTTCCTCATACTGTACCTGGCTTGTTTTGTTATCAAAACATAAAATGTGTTGGTAGTTTTTCCTATTGTTAATCTGCCGGCCAGTGTAATTATTCATATAAGATTAGTGTTTGGATTTATTTGAAACACTATCATAAGTGCCTTAGCCTATTTTTATTTTAGTAAAAACATTTTAATTTACATTTAAGGACATGTTCATGTCACGTTATTTCTTTTGCAGTTTGAGTAGGTAATAAATATTTTCTATGTATGTATAGAGAGACGACATAACAAGTTAAATATATATGTATGATTTACTCCAAAATATCAAGCTTATTAAAAGTTTTTACAAATATTATATCTTATTACTGTTTAGTATCTTCAGACTCTATGTCTATATTCTTTTACAATATCTAATATTGTTTATTAAGCCATATATACACACACACATATGTATGTCAATCATGGTGATTTATTTCCCTATGTGTTTCACAATATGTATGTGTGTGTGTGTATATATGCATATGTGTTTGTCTATATATGTATAAGATGTATAGCTCAGCCAAAACAGTACTTAAAAGGAGCATTTATATTTGAAATTATATTTTTAAATAAAAGCTAATAAAATATATCTACATAGCTATATTAATAAAATATATTAAATAATATATATAAATATATACACACAAATATATCTTTTTTTTAATATTGACAAATATTTGTATAGTTTATTCATCTTTTAGGAACCACTGTTTTAACTTGCTTGCTCTTCTAATATAAAATTATTCTGGCATGATTTTCAGCTCTTTATTTTTATTATTTTCGTTATTGTATTATTTTTGGTTTTATTATACTGTTCTTTCTAACTTCCTGTTAAATATTTGGCTCATTTAGTGTGAGCCACTCTAATTTTCTTTTATATCATTTCAAATATAAGTGCTCCTTTAAATGCTCCTTTAGTACTGTTTTGGCTGAGCTATGTATTTTATACTTATATAGATGAACACACATATATACGCACACACATATATACATACACATATACATATACATACACACATACACATATATACACATGTATATAAACACATATATACATGTGTGTATCCTTAACAGGCCAAGATATTTCTATTCTATACACTAAGATTTCTAAAGTAATCGGTTGCTTAAAATGTGTTTTCGATGTATGTTTATGTTCATATACTTTTCAAGCTATATGTAATTGATTCTAATTTAATTGTACTGTGATAAAAATGGCATATATAGCACTGTTCCTTTTATTTATTTTTTGAGGCTAGATCATGTTCACTTTTCGTAAGTCATCAAAATGTTTTTGAAAATGCCATCTATTTCCCAATGTCATGATGCAATGTACCATATATTTTTATTAAATCAAACTTACTCGCTTTTTATCATTCAGGTCATCTAGATACTTTTGAGAGGTGACAACGTGCTAGCAGCCCTTGCTCGCTCTCTGCTCCTCCTCGGCCTCGGCGTCCGCTCTGGCCGCGCTGGAGGAGCCCTTCAGCCCGCCGCTGCGCTGTGGGGGCCTCTCTCTGGGGCTGGCAGAGGCCGCAGCCACCGGCTATCTCTGCTGGCGGGGAGGTGTGGAGGAGGAGGCGCGGGCGGGAGCCGAGGCTGCGCCGGTGGCGCTCCCGCCGGCGCGGGTTCCTGGTGGGCGCAGGCTCAGCGGGCCCCCTACTCTGCGCGGCCAGCCAGCGCCTGCTCAGGGGAGGAGCTCACTCTGGGCTGCTGGAGTGCCCTGGGCTAGGTGCCGCGAAGTCCAGCAGGGAGTGCCATTGAGAGGTGAAGCCGGCTGGGTCCGGTGGTGACTTGCAGAACTTTTCTGTCTAGCTAAAGGATTGTAAACGCAGCACTCTGTGTCTAGCTAGAGGTTTGTAAACACACCAATCAGCACTCTGTCAAAACGCACCAATCAGCTCTCTGTAAAATGGACCAGTCAGCTCTCCGTAACATGGACAATCAGCAGGATGTGGGTGGGGCCAGATAAGGGAAGCAGGCCTCCGAAGCCAGCAGTGGCAACCCACTTGGGTCCCTTTCAATGCTGTGGAAGCGTTGTTCTTTCACTCTTCTCAATAAATCTTGCTGCTGCTCACTCTTTGGGTCTGCCCCGCTGTTATGAGCTGTAACACTCACAGCCAGTGTCTGCAGTTTCACTCCTGAAGCCAGCAAGACCACAAACCCACAGGGCGGGACAAACAACTCCGGACAGGAGGAATGAACAACTCTGGACGCGCCACTTCTATGAACTTTTATGAACTGTAACACTCACCGCAAAGGTCTGCAGCTTCACCCCTGAGGCCAGGGAGACCACGAACCCACCGGAAGGAATGAACAACTCCAGACGCACTGCCTTTAAGAGCTGTAACACTTACCACGGATGTCTGCAGCTTCACTCCTGAAGTCAGCGAGACCACAAACCCAACAGAAGGAAGAAACTCCCGACACATCTGAACATCTGAAGGAACAAACTCTGGACACACCATCTTTAAGAACTGTAACACTCACCGTGAGGGTCAACCGCTTCATTCTTGAAGTCAGCCAGACCAAGAACCCACCAATTCCGGTACGTAAAAAAAGCTTGTGCCAGACTGTAAATTAAACCACTGCCTCTTTCATGGAGAATGTCTTAAAATTAACCAAAAGAAAAAAATTGTAACAGATAAAAGTGTGCTTAGTGAGAGAGAGAGTTCGTTTACATTGTAGCCGAAGCTCCAGAACTTGTTGCAGATTTATAAAGGTTTGGAGAAAGCATTGGGCGTGGTCCACTCAGTACAGATCATACTTTGAGGATTACTTGGGCAAGTTAGATTTTGCTAACAAACATCCCCAACCTGATGTCTACAACAAGGACATGAAGTAATTTAGGGAATAGTAGCATCCATTTCGTGTCATCCTCACTCAGGGATCCAACTTTGGAAGATTTCACTATGGGAAACAATGAGATGGGAAAAATAGAAAGTAGTGAGTCATGCATTGGGCCATGAAGGCTTTTCTTCAGCAGGGACTCTGCTCTTTTCATGGACTTGCAGTAAATAACACCAACGTGTTTAACTTCAAGGAAGCAGGAGAGAGAAGTATAGATATTTAGTGACTAACATGAATTACCTTCATGAATGTCATGTTTTTGTAATAGCCAATGGCTATGTATTTTTTATCTTTCCATTATTGAAGAATATTAAAATCTCCCAATGTTAGTACAGTTCTCTATCCAAAACTGTGGGTTTTGAATGTATACATTTTTCGGACCCTGTATTTGGTGCATCCAAACATAGAATCTGGATAGTTATAAGTGCATACTATGTAGTAAACCTATTTAATTCAAGCATAAATTTTGCTTTAAAATAATGCGTATTGACATGACAACTCCAGAATTATTATGGTTATTATTTGTCTGCTACATATTTTATATTGTTCTCATATTGTTCCATAAGACTTTGAATTTTGCTGAGGTTTCACATTTTAAGTGTAAAAGTAAATTTAGATGGATTCATTTATTAATAAATAAATGGATTGGATTAATACATCCATTGGATTATTAATAAATCCATTGGATTAATAAATAAATAGATGGATTCAATTTAGATGGATTCATTTATTAATAAAATGTAATGTCACAAGACTTTCTTTTAGTTTGTGTAGTTAGTACTTTTTCATTTTTACTAATTTCCCGTTTTTAATTTATTTCTGATATCTTATTTTACAACTTGTATATTTTAAACATCTTTACATTTGCATTCCCCTTATCTTTTAAAATATTTTTCCGATTTTAATTCCTTCTCTTACTTGAAACATTAACAATTTCAATATTAATTAACCAACGTCTTACACTCCTCTTGGCCAGATATCAGAATAATTTAGATAACCTACTAAACATTACAAGTTTTCCTAGTCTAGTACTTTAGTTTAAACTTTGTCCTATTAGATATATTATTATGTTAGGCAGTTATTGTTTATTTAGATTTACCAATGTCATTACTCTTTGTTAAAGCACAGCTTTTCTATTTGAAATCTTTTCCCTCTTCACCCAGAAACTACTTCAGAAAATGTTCTCTTTTAAATGGGTCTTGCGTATGTATCTGTGTAGTAGGCTTTTACACTTTGTGTAAAAGATGTCTTTCATTCACATTATGTTTTTTTGTAGGTATTTTCATACTTTTTTTATTTTCTACGTGTTTACTATTTAAGACTATATTTAAACTTCTTAACTCATTTCTTTTCCTGAACCTGATAATTATTGTTTTCCAACAGTTGTAGAGAATTATCAGAGAATTATCATCAGTTGTCTCCTCAAACAATGCCTCTCATTTTCTAATAATTTCTAATAATTTTATTATATATATGTGTGTGTGTGTGTGTGTGTGTGTGTGTGCGCGCGCCTCATCTTTTTTTACCTGTGTCTCCTATGTCATGTTTTAAATATTTCATCTAGGTTTTTTTTTCCATAAACATTATGCGTGAATTTTTCAGTTCTAATTTCTAGTTTGCTTATTTTTTATTAAAATATGCTTAATTCCTTAATCAGATCTTCATTGTTATTTGTTTTTGTAATTTATAAATCATACTTTTCTATTTTGGAAGTTTTTTTTTAATATTCATTTTACAAGTCTGATACCTGAAATATCTATGTTATGCTTTTGCCATTTCTTGTTTCTGCTGCTTCTCAATCATGGTGACTTATTTCCCTATGTGTTTCACAATTTCTGTTTTCTATCTGCTTACATCATTTAACCTGAGTTTTTCCGTATAAGTTTTGCTTAATGTCTGCAAGTTTTTTGTGGTTGCTATCAAATTGGATAAATTTTTAACTGTGTTTCTCACTTAAGATTTTTGATAATACTCAGACACCAAGAAATTGGATTGAAAGTTTGCATTTGGGAAAGATTATGATAACCAGTTCTTAGAGACAACTCTTTTTTTCTACTCAGTTTCCTTGCAGAGTGATGTTTATTTCTTGTTCCAAGTTATGATGCAGTCCAGCTCTTTGTGGAACCATCTGTGTGCTGCTATATTGTTTTGGATTCCTTAATGCAAAGCCATCCTGGCCTTATTACTTTCTCTATATTTCATGAGTTCCTTGATAGGAAAACTCCAAGTGTCCAGCATTTTACAGCGACCCTTAGGATAAGGTTCATTGAAGGCGTTATTCATAACCTCTGAGTTTCTCATTTTATTTTAAAGCTCAGCATATTCATCATTTTCAAGGAAGCTTGTATTTGTGTTTTAAAATACGTTTTAGTCAGCACATTAATTATTTTTGCTGACGGAGTCATTCAGCTCATTTCATTTTTGTTTGCTATTAAATCCATGTCTGTGAATATCTACTGTTACACCAATGAGGTCATAAGATATTTGAAGGAATGGGTAGATCTTACATATCCTTTTACCTGTAAACAACATTAGATTTAGCTTTTCTCTCCAACCAATACCAATCCAATTCCTGTTACTCCCTCTCCCCAAATAACAATGTAACTACTTGTAGTTTTAAACAAGAGCCATGTTTTCCTTCATTATCTTGCATGTGTTTCTGTCAACATGTCCATTGTTTTATCTAGAATACTATTCTTCCTTTGTTAAATATAAAAATATACACATATATTTATATGTGTGTATATGTATATTTATATATTTACTGGATTCTTTGTGCCTAGTACTATCTAATTTATGAGATTACTATACAAATCTTAAACACATACAAAAAGACTTTGCCTTTCATTCTTCTAAGACTATGTTGAAAGAGATGGACATTTGGAAACAATCACACCGGTACCAAGAAGAGTATTAAAAAAGGAAAATGATTTTATATTGTGGGATGTAAGAAACTGTTGCAACAATCAATTTGTTGTTTCCCAGATCGAGATCAACCCTTCTATGTCCTGACTTTAATACAAGAGAAGGACCTTGTAAATATTTCTTCTTTGCCAACTGGTGCAACGTTAGGTCTTGGAAATGGAGAGCACCAGAAGAACACTGAACGAGGAAGGAACTTCTCTTTGTGGTTGTGATCATTTATTTTATGCTCCCATGGCAAAGTTGGCAGCAGCAGAGTATTCAAGTCAGGCTCCAGATTCCATGGAAGTTTTCTGTAGGAGACTTAAGGGCACCCAAATTGAAGAAAGTTTTAGCAGTGGCCTTGGAAGAGGATTCCCAGTGTGTTTCATCAGTGCGCAGCAGGCAGATTCTCTGAGAGATTTTCCATCACCCAGCAGGTGCCTTTCTAGGGAGGCTCATTGTCAACTTACTCAGTGGTTTCCTAGAGTTTTCCTTGTACCTGAGTGGGAAGTTTTCTACTTCTCTGTTTCAATCTATGACATCTCAGTAAACATCTTTGATATCTAGTAGGCCACACCATACCTTGTTTAATAAAGTTTGAATCTCATTTTTTTAAGTTTGTCTCTTTAGCATTTGTCCTTGATCCTAGAGGTTATAGATTATTCCTTACACTTGTTATGTCTGTATTCTTTAGCTTTGTCTATGCAGTTTTAGTAGTTAATTAGGTATAGCTAGTTAATAATTCTTCATATTAGATGCTTCTTATTCCATTTGCTGATACAATTTCTATCTCCTTGATGAAACTGCCCAATACAAAAAGGCACATGACAGCAGAGAGCTCTATTATGCTCTGGATATGAAGCATAAATTAGAAAGATTACTCAATTGATCTTGTAGGATTTTGATTTTGGAGTAACAACATCCTACTTATCCTTATACCTGAAATTAATAAAATATGAGGATATAGAAATATATATGTATATATATATGAAGTAATATATTTCAGCATATTAGGCATCGATCAATGGAAAACAGCAATCCTTGAAACACTGGGAACAAATCACACTCTACCTTAATCCCAGGTCACTTCAAAGCTATAGCACATGGAAGGGAAAACAAAGTGGAGCTTATTAGCTGCCCTGAGTTCACGTGATAACTCTGAGAACTCAGAGAAAGCCAAGTGGGTAGAATATGCAGGGCAAAGTATCAAAGAGAAGAGAGGTGCACAGAGAAAAAAACTGAAAAATAGTTCTCCCCCTCTTTTCTCCTCTTTCTCCTCCTTCTCATCCTCCTTCATCTTTTCGTCATCCTCATCTTCTTCTTTTACTTTGTCCTTTTCTTCTTCAAAAGAAGATACAATCGTCCCAGTATCATTTGCTGAAAAGATTATCCACACATTACTGAGTTGCCTTTGTACATTTGCAAAAAATGATATGTGAACACAAATGTGGATCTATTTCTGAACTCTGTATTCATCCTACTTGATCTATCTTATGGCCAGCACCACAAGCTCTCAGTCACTGCAGCTTTATAACAAGTCTGTCTAAAGCTTTCTTCTTTCTCAAAGTTACTTTGGCTAATGAATGTCCTTTCCATTCCATGTGAATTTTATAATCAGCCATTTGTCAGGGCATAAGGTGTTAATTGGTCAATTAGGGCAATGAGCCAAATGGAAAGTAACAAAACTTTATTCACTTACTACAATAGTACAGGAAAGAAAGAGACAAAGAGAAAAAAAGGATTGTTTCTTTTTTTTCTTTTTAATTTTTATTTTACATTTGGGGGTACATGTGAAGGTGTGTTGCATATATAAACATGTGTCATGGGAGTTTGTTGTGCTTATTATTACATCACACAGGTATTAAGCTCAGTACCCAATAGTTATCTTTTCAGCTTCTCTCCCGTCACCCGCTAGTGTCAAGTAGACCCCAGTGTCTGTTGAATCTTTCTTTGTATTCATAAGTTCCTATTATTTAGGTCTCATTTATAAATGAGAACATTCAATATTTGGATTTCTGTTTCTGTGTGAGTTTGCTAAGGATAATAATCTCCAGCTTCATCCATGTTTCTACAAAAGACAAGATCTTATTCTTTTTTATGGCTGCATAATATTCCATGGTGTGTATGTACCACATTTTCTTTATCCAGTGTGGGCAGTTAAGTCGATTCCATGTCTTTGCTATTGTGAATATTGCTGCAATTAACATGCGTGTGCGTGTGTCTTTATGGTAAAATGTTTTATATTCTTCTCGTTATATACCCAGTAATGGGATTGCTGAGTTAAATGGTAATTCTGCTTTTATCTCTTTGAGGATTTGCCATACTGCTTTCCACAATGGTTGAATTAATTTACACTCCCACCAACAGTATGTAAGGGTTCCCTTTTCTCTGCAACCTTGCCAGCATCTGTTGTTTCTTGGCTTTTTAATAATTGCCATGCTGACCGGTGTGAGATGATATATCTCATTGTGGTTTTGATTTGCATTTCTCTAATGATCAGTGATGCTGAGCTTTTTTTCATGTTTTTTTGCCACATACATGTCTTCTTTTAGGAAGTGTCTGTTCATGTGTTTTGTCCACTTTTTAATGGGGTTGTTTTTCTCTTGTAAATTTGTTTATGTTCCTTACAGATGCTGGGTATTAGACCTTTGTCAGATGCATAGTTTGCAAAAATTTTCTCCCATCCTGTAGGTTTTCTGCTTACTCTGTTGATAGTTTCTTTTGCTGTGCAAAAACTCTCAAGTTTAATTAGATCCCATTTGTCAAATTTGCTTTTGTTGATTGCTTTTTTTATCTTTGCCAAATCTTTGCCTGTTCCTAGGTCCTGGATGGGATTGCCTATGCTGTCTTCTGGGGTTTTTATAGTTTTGTGATTTATATTTAAGTCTTTAATCCATCTCGAGTTAATTTTTACTTATGGTGTAAGGAAGGAGTCTAGCTTCAATTTTCTGCATATGGCTAGCCAATTATCCCAGCACCATTTATTGAATATGGAGTCTTTTCCCCATTGTTGTTTTTGTCAGCTTTGTCAAAGATCAGATGGTAGTAGATGTATGGCCTTATTTCTGGGCTCTCTATTATGTTCCATTGGTCTATGTGCCTGTTTTTTTTTTATATATTTTTTTAACAGTACCATGCTGTTGATTGTTTCCCTAATGCTTCATTTTTCCCAATAGAATGACACTGGACAAGGTTCTGTCAGATGACATGAAGCCCAGGAGCGGGGAATAGAATCATCTCCCTGCTGAAAAGCCCTACATACAAGGCTCCTTCTGCATTATGAATCCAGGAATAGGACAGGTGAGGGAGAGGAAGAAGGGCTAGGAGTGGAAAAGTACTGACTAAGATTGGAGGAAAAAAGTATCTTAGTCAAGTCTACAATCACCCCTCAACAAGACCTTCTTTGAGGTTCTTGAAAAGCCTTCAGCCAAAGATTCACAACAAGGAGACCTCCAACAGGAATCTCCTAGGCTAAGAATGCAGAAATACATATGAGCATGGCTGTACTGGTGGATGCCTTAGTGCTTGACTGTAACTCTCTCCAGAAAAGTAAAATGCACTGGCTGTGCACCAAGTCTGATGAGGAGGGCAACTTTCCCTATGAGGCCTACCAGTAAAGTCTTTGAAATTGCCTAATTGCAAAGGTCAGGCCTAAAGTATCACACATAGGATTCTGCCCCAGAACCAGACTCTTCAACTCTGCCACTTGATTCTTCAGAGCCTGAGCCTGAAGCATAGGCTACCTCATAGGAATCAAAACAGTTCAATTTAAGGGACTATAATTACACTAGTTAATTTTTCTCAGACAACAGTTAATGACCAGAATGATGACTAAACTTTAAGTAGGGTAATCAGACATGCCATGGAAGAGTGAATATAGCCATAAGTTCCAGTCATTATTAAGTCAGAAAAAGATGTCCCAAAGCCCAATAGAATCTATTCTAGAGATCCAAGAGACCAATTGATATGCTTCGGTTCTGTGTCCCCACCCAAATCTCATCTTGAATTATATTCCTATAACTCTCGTGTTATGGGAGGGACCTGGTGGAAGATAATTGAATCATGGAGGCAGTTCCCCCATACTGTTGTCATCGTAGTGAATCTCACAAGGTCTGATGGTTTTATCAAGGGTTTCTGCTTTTGCATCATCCTATTCTCTTTTTGCCTGCTGCCATCCATGTAAAACAGGGCTTGCAGCAATTCCCTAAAAAAGGCACTTCTCATTTGCTACTTATATTTGACCATGCTGCCACCCCCTTTTCAATGTTGTACCTTTTTTTAATATAATTATTGATATGTAATTCTCCATGCGTGACCCTATCACGGCCTTTCATTCTCAGCCATGTGGAACTGTAAGTTCATGTGGAACTGTAAGTCCATGTGGAACTGTAAGTCCAATTAAACTTCTTTCTTTTGTAAATTGCCCAGTCTCAGGTATGTCTTTATCAGCAGCATGAAAATGGACCAATACACCAATCTTCTTATGTTTTTATATGATTATTTTTAAAATCTGGCCTGAGACATTAATCAGTCATAGCACAGCTCTGGCCAGTAAGTTAAAGCTGCCCTAAATGCTTTCTAGGATTGACGCTGTGTCATGATGGTCAGGGTATAAACATAAAGTACAATCCCAGCGGGCATACATGGTGCCACTGTAAATAAATAGTTTACACTGTTAGGGCATCCTGATCAGGATATACATTATTTAGTCAGTCAGGTTAACAGCACCCCCATGATGTTCTTTCACCATGGGGTTTTTTGTCCACTCAGAAGAATTTAATTTAGTCCTTGCTTTCAAAAGGACTAACTGAGACAGTCAGTTGTGAACAGTTTTATTTGTTCATGACATTAGTTTATCAACCTCAGGAGTGTGAATGACATCTGGAGGTGTTCTCCGTGGAAAATCCAAGAGCTGAGGTCACCCCCTGCTGTCTCATAATCAGCATTATCAGGTGTGATCCTAGTCGCAGCAGTCACTTTGAACTTGATGTGTTCACAGCAGTTTAGAAAGGTAGTGCAGGGAGGTGGTGATGGTGGTGTGTGTGTGTGTGTGTGTGTGTGTGTGTGTTTATGTGTGTCTTTCCCCAGAATGAACAGAAAACTGTCAGAAGCTGATCTGGAAAATAAAGATCATTAATGTCTTGGCCTGACCCTACCTTCACCCCACCACACACATCTCCCCAGGTGTCAGCTGGGGCTTTGTTTGTTTGTTTGCCCACTGCCACTTTGTTGCTTCATTCAATAATCAAAATTTCTTACTTTCTTAATTTTCTGCTATTCTCACCAGACTTTTTATTCAAAAGAGTTACAAGCAAGATGTAAAATAAAAGCAGTTTAACATAAGTAGTTTTTATACAATATATCCAGAAAGACACAATATGTTTAAGAATTGATTGGGACAAAATTCTGAAAAATTTAAAATGGGTTTGCATAACCTCTTTCAGTCCTTCCTGTTTAAAGCCATTCTGGTCTGCTATCAATTTGAGCCTTCATAAAAGGGTAGAAGAGAATGAAAGGCCATGATAGGGTCACGCATGGAGAATTACATATCAATAATTATAAAAGAAAGGTATAACATTGAAAAGGGGGTGGCAGCATGGTCAAATATAAGTAGCAAATGAGAAGTGCCTTTTTTAGGGAATTGCTGCAATGAGACCCTACATTGCTTCCCCATGATGTACAGTCTAGGCTGGTTTTCTTGTTTCCTCCCAGTCATCAATTAAGTCTATCATTTAATTATGAATTGAAAGGTTAACCACCCCTGCATGTTGGGATTGTTGTGGAACATGGAGATTCTATCATAGGATCCATGAGCTCAGTGATATGCAGCTTTGGCTGCAAATATGGGGCTATTAACAGATGCATTGTGCTGAGGGAACATAAACAGAAAACAAATGTGGACTTGCCAGGACTGGATAGTGTGGCTTGAGTTAATGGAAAACATCGGAATCCAAAAAAAGTGTTGATTCAGTGGAACCCTGTAGATGGGATGGGAAGCCTGGTGTGATCTATTTGCCAAGAAGTCCCTTCCTCACTGGCTCAAGAGATATATCCCTTTGACCAGGATGTGGCAGGTAGGGCAGTTTTGTTTTGGTGGTGTTGATATGGTTTGGATACTTGTCCCTTCCAAACTACATGTTAATATATGATTTCCAATGTTGGAGGTGAGGCCTGGTAGGAGGTGTTTGGGTCATGAAAGAGGATTTCTCCTGAATGCCTTGGTACACTCCCCACCATAATGAGTTCACATGAGATCTGATTTTGTAAAAAAAGCCTGGCATCTACACTCCTCTTGCTGTCTCTCACACCATGTGACACACCTGCTTCCCCTTCACCTTCTGCCATGATTGTAAGCTTTCTGTGGCCCTCACCAGAAACAGATGTTGGCACCATGCTTCCTGAATGCCCTGCAGAACCGTGAGCCATTAAAACATTTTGGTTTCTAAGAAACAGAAAACAAACAAAACACCCCACAATTTTTCTTTATAAATTGCCCAATCTCTGGCATTCTTTCTTAGTAGTGCAAATAGACTAAACAGATTGTCTTCTGATAGAGTAGCAGTTTGTGTCTCTAGGTTCAAGGTAGGATGGTGTCTGAATTTCCATGGGCTGTTCTCTTACAGATCCAGAAGGCTATCAATTCTACATGTGCTTGTTCTGGGAGAATAATTCAGTCTCATGTTCAGCTGATGAGGTTGGGTTTGCTACCATTTATCAGCATAGGTTTTGTTTGTTTGTTTGTTTGTTTGTTTTTGACAGTCTTGCTCTGTCTCCCAGGCTATAGTGCAGTGGTACTATCTCTGCTCACTGCAACTTCTGCCTCCTGAGTTCAAGCTATTCTCCTGCCTCAGCCTCCTGAGTAGTTGGGAGTACAGGCATCTGCCACCGCGCCTGGTTTATTTTTGTATTTTTAGTAGAGATGCGATTTCACCATCTTGGCCAGGCGGTTCTTAAACTCTTCACCTCGTGATTCACCTGACTCAGCCTCCCAAAGTGGTGGGATTACAGGCTTGAGCCACCGCGCCTGGCCTAGCATAGGGTTCTTTTTTTTTTTTTTTTTTTTTTGAGACAAAGTCTCGTTCTGTCGCCCAGGCTGGAGGGCAGTGCCGTGATCTCGGCTCACTGCAAGCTCCGCCTCCCAGGTTCATGCCATTCTCCTGCCTCAGTCTCCCGAGTAGCTGAGACTACAGGCGCCCTCCACCACGCCCGGCTAAGTGTTTTTTTTTTTTTTTTGTATTTTCAGTAGAGACGGGGTTTCACCATGTTAGCCAGGATGGTCTCAATCTCCTGACCTCGTGATCCGCCCTCCTTGGCCTCCCAAAGTGGTGGGATTACAGGCATGAGCCACCACGCCTGGCCTAGCATAGGGTTCTTTGTAGTGATCATCCACATAAGTAACAATGAGTTTATAAGTAGCAGATCTGATTTTTGCACAAATGTCTTGTTTCCACAGGGAACTTTATTTTATATCCTAGTCTAAGGCTTGCCAGTGGCCTGATCAAATACTCAGGCCATGGTGTGACAAAAACCAAGAGTCAAATGAAATATGCTATATTAGTATGTTTAAGAGTTGGTCATGACAAATGGGCCTGGACCATTGATGTGGCCTGAATAGCCATTCCTAACACATGATGCTCTGCCCATTGTTTATGGGAGACAACAACCCTAGACGCTGATAATCAGGTCTATGTTTTATTTTGAACAGCGTGTATTTATTTTAATGCTTCTTTGCATGTCTGCTAATTTCAATTGAATGCTATATATTGTGATTTTTGCCTTTCAGGATGCTGTATACATTTATATTTGTATTAATGTCTTTTAGCTTTGTTCTATCATACAGATAAGTTATTGGGAAATAATTTCATTTTTTAAGGACTTACTTTGAAGATTTGTAAGATGAGACAACAGCAGCATTTTGTCTACGGGTAATTATCACGTACTACTGAGGCAAAACTCTTTGACTATTATCACCAATCCCTTTGAATCATCAGGTTTTGTGTATTACCTGGAGAAAGCTGTCAGTCTCCTGGCCTGTGTAATCTCTTGGTACTGTTTTCACTAATTCTTATTGGGACTGTGTAATCCCTTGGTGCTGTTTTCACTAATTCTTATTGGTGATTTGTTGCCTAACTTCTGGTAGTTTCTTCACATACATTCTTGACAACTCCTGACTACCTTAGGAGGATCTAGGTCCATCTATTTAGGACAAATGGCTCATAAAACTAAATATAAATTGAAAATTTATACAACATCTAAGAGGAAACTCAAGAAAAAATCTTAAAGACATTTGCTTAAGTAAACATTGTTTTATTTCATTTAAGATGAAATGAAACCACCAAAAATATACATAAAAGAAAAATTTTGATAAGTTCTACTTCATTAACATGAGAATCTTCTTCTTTTTAAATATACAAGTAATAGAATTAAAAAAGCAAGCTACGGGCCGGGTGTGGTGGCTCACGCCTGTAATCTCAGCACTTTGGGAGGCTGAGGCAGGTGGATCACTTGAGGTCAGGAAATCGAGACCATCCTTGCCAACATGGTGAAACCCCATCCCTACTAAAAATACAAACATTAGCTGGGCATGGTGGTGTGCATCTGTAGTCCCAGCTACTTGGGAGGCTGAGACAGGAGAGAATTGCTTGAACGTGGGAGGCGGAGGCTGCAGTGAGCCAAGATCACACCACTGCACTCCATCCTGGCAACAGAGCGAGATTCCATTTAAAAAAAAAAGCTACAGCCTGGAGGAGAAAAGATTTACAAGTAATGTAAGTAACAAAGGTTTTGCATTAATAATTCATAAAGAACTTTCAAAACTCAATAGAAACCATAAAAAAATTTAAAAATCTATAGCTAAATGCGAAAAATTTGCAGCTATGTCACAAGATTATATATATTTGTGTGTGTAAATATGACCACAGAAACATTTTCAACATCATTTTAAACATTTTCCACATCATTTTAATTAATGTAATTAAAACCACAATGAGATACAACTATACAACTGCTACAATAGCTCAAAGTTAAAAATATATTTAACAGTGTTGCAAGTGTTGGCAAGGCTACTATGAAACTTGAGCTCATACACTCCTTGTAGCAATGTAACATGGCAGCCACTTTAGAAATCACTTTGGCAGATTGTTTAAAAATTATATGCATCTAGCTTATAGCCTAGCTATTTCATTCCTAGGTATGTGTACAAGACAAAAGCATGTATCCATGCAAGGACTTGTATATGACTGTTTATAACTGATTTCTTGTGATAATCAAAATATGAAAACAAACCAAATGTCCACACACATGAATGTATGAACAAATTGTGGCATCTCCATACAATGAAATTCATCTCAGCAATGTAAATGAAAAGTACTGTTAGTACCTGTACCCACATTTTTAAGATAACTCTTTAAATTATCATATTGAGTGAAATGCACCATGTAAAAGAGTACATATTGAAAGATTCCACTTCTGTAAAGTGGTAAAAAACAAACTAATTTATAATGACAGAAATTTGAGCATGTGCCTAGGTTCTCATAATTAGGACATGAACATCATTGGGGGAAGGAGAGGGAGACATCATATGATGTACACAAATGTTCAACAATCATGTGAAAGAAACAATTGTAAAAATTTCAAGACTATATTTAAACTATTTTTTAAATTTATTTTTATTTGTATAAATTTAAGGGACACAAGGACAGTTTTGTTACATCGATATATTAAATAGTGATGAAGACTGGGCTTTTAGTATATCCATCTAAATGGATATACTATAAAGATAATAATGATATGATGTATGTTTTACTCATTATTTTCTCATACCCCACCCCCTCCCACCATCCCACCTTTCTTGAGTCTCAAATGTCTATCATTACACACTCTATGTTCATGTGTACCCATTATTTGGCTCCCACTTAGAACTGAGAACATGTGATATTTGACTTTCTATTTCTGGGTTCTACTTAAGATAATGGCTGCCAGTTGCATCCATATTGTGGCAAAAAACATGATTTCATTATTTTTTATTGATGAACACTATTCCATCATGTATATATACCACATTTTCTTTATCCAATCATCCATTTATGGACATTTAGGTTGATTCCAAAGCTTATTGCTGCAATAAGCATAGGAGTGCAGATATCTCTGCTATATACTGATTTAAATTCCTTTGGATATACACTCACTAGTGGGATTGCTGGATCATATGGTAGTTCTTTTTTTTTTATTATTGTACTTTAAGTCCTAGGGTACATGTGCACAACGTGGAAGTTTGTTACATATGTATACATGTGCCATGTTGGTGTGCTGCACCCATTAACTTGTCATTTGCATTAGGTATATCTCCTAATGCTATCCCTCCCCTCTCCCCCCACCCCACAACAGGCCCCAGTGTGTGATGTTCCCCTTCCTGTGTCCAAGTGTTCCCATTGTTCAATTCCCACCTATGAGTGCGAACATGCGGTGTTTGGTTTTTTGTCCTTGCGATAGTTTGCTGAGAATGATGGTTTTTTGATCAAAATAAATTTCTTTGAGAAAGGCATAATTTCAGAAATAGTATCATTGCCATTAGATATTAACTAATAAAAGAAAAATGACTACTGTTTATTCTGTCATATTTTCTCTGAGTTCTGATTTTATGATTTATGACAGCATTTGGGTTTCTTTTGTTTTTCAGATTTTCACTTTATCTGGAGTGGGGTGAATAGGTAACTGAAATATTAAAAACAGTTCAAAACAATAGTAAATAATGACACTTATACATTCCAAAGAACATGGAATTATTACTATTCTTAAATGATACACTCTTATAATAGGTTTTCCAGTTTTCACAGACAAGCCAATATGAGCAATTTATTGTTATGAAATCATGTGTTTTTAACGTTTGAATGCTGAAATTTGTAAATGATATTTCTGTTCACTCCAATAACCTGCTATAGATCAAATTTATCTCCTTCAGAGTTTATTCAGAAGGACTAGAGAAAGCCTTCAAGACATAAAACCATAATAAATAAATTACTTGTACTTAGCAGGTTTAAATGTTTTTATGTTCCATTTGTAGTCATATATAAAAACATATAATATAGAAGATCTTTGACATTTTGTAGGTCTTTTGTATCAATACAAAAGTCAACTTAATTCCAATCTTTAAAGCACACTGAATTTGTATTTTAACTTTTTATTAGTTTTCTTTTGAAAAGAGTTAAAAGATTTTCTGAATCCTTTTTGGAATAGGCTAACATGATTTATGCTTTCTTTTCCTATTTTCCTTAAAGCTCTCCCCACCCTTTAACACAGGCTTCCAAACATTATCTTTCTAAAGGTAACTCTGGAGGAAGGGTTATGATTAAGTATCTGAAACATAGCAATGTTCACCTTATAATGTAATAATTTTTGTATGCATGATAAACCATATTTAATTTTAAAACTAAATAGAAAATTGAGAATTATTCAGAAATAAGAGTAATCATTATGCAATTGCTATCATTAAGCATGGTAGCAATTAGAATTAGAAAGGGGAAATAATTCAGTCTCTGTATGTTGCATAATTGAGGAGGTTAGTACTCCTGATTATGGTTGTCAAATCTAAGAGCAGGGTATATTTTTCACAAAGTGTCCTCTGAGGAGTTACACACCAGAAAAACTTTAGGCTGATAATTAGAAATGAATATACCAAGGCGTCAAGGACTCACTCATACCCACTAATCAGGTGTTACCTGAGCAGGACAATAAAACTGCATTTACATAGAAATTCATCAGTTGGTTGTTAATTATATCATTATTTAAAAATACAAAATTATTGCATATTTTCAAGTGGATTACCTTTAAAACTTTATTTATGTTCTTTGGTCTTGAAAGAGCAGTTGTATACTGTATTGGAATTTAATAATTCTTTCTCTGTTATAACACCATTTAGTTATCTATAGCCATTCTCAAGAGTAGAGGTAGTCCCAGCCCTGGCTTCAAATTGGGGCTTCTAAACCAAAAATGAAATTCTTAACCCCCTGAGTCCCTCAAGGTCTGATAAGAGACATTTACCATCTACTATCTCTGAAGCCTACTACTTAGAGGCTTCATCTATGTAACAAGAACCTTGGCTTTCACAACCCTATTTATCTTAACTGTAGCATTTCTTTATGCTGCCTTCAGCTCTTCAAGCAAAGTTTAAGTCTTTCAACCAATTGCCAATCAGAAAATCTTTGAATCCACCTATGACCTGCAAGACCCTACTCTCCATCCTTCAGTGTGTCTCATCTTTCCAGGCTGAACCAATGTTATTGCTTTATGTATTTGCCTGTAACTTCTGACTCCCTGAAATGTATAAAACCAAGCTGTAACCCAACCACCTTGGGCACATGTTCCCAGGACCTCCTGAGGCTGTTTCATGGGCCGCCCTCTTATTTACACTTGCAGAATAAACCTCTTCAAATATTGTACAGAGTTTGGCTTTTCTCATCAACAGGCTTAAAGCTAAACCTCCCATCTTTCATAGGAACCAATTTCTTAAACTCCACTACACAGTTTTATTGCCTGAATTTCTATAGGTCTTCAGTTTTATTTAGCTATGCTCAGTGTTTTGTTTTACTATTACATTTCTGGTTAACAAATATGACTATCTTGTATTTGAATCTTAATTCTATTTTCTTTTTTCTTGCTTATATCTATTATTCAGTGTATCTGTTGAAGTCAGTGTCATTCAGAGTTGACTCTCCACATTTCTTGATCTAGAAATTGCAAATACTTCTCAACTGAAATTGCAAAAATTTCAGTCCTCAGGAACACACATAGAGTATGTTTTTGTTGAGTGGAACAGGTTTAGAGCAGCAGAAAGCAATGTTGCTTAATTTTGAACTTGTGAGGAAAGATCTTAAAGCACACACAACAAACACAACAAAGTATAAATCATAAAGAAAACTACCGATATATTTTATTAAATATATTTTCCTTTGAAAAGAGTTAAAAAAATTTATATTTATATATCTGTAGATAGATATATATATATCTGTAGATATAGAGATATAAATATCTGTAGAGAAAATAATTATCTATAACATACACAAGTTAAAATCTGGAAGAAGGTGTCTTAAATGTATAAATATTTAAAAGGATAGATATTTAAAATATACAAAGAGTATTTGAAATAAATAAAAGAACCAATAGAAAATAGTGATCATAATGTTTGATTGTTGACTTTAAGAAGAATAAACTCAAATGGCCAGTAAACTATATAAAAATATTTTCAACTTTTTAATAAATTCATATTAAAAGAAGGTAGCATATCATACCTATCAGATGTCATATACATCGATGGTGATATTATTATACATGTTGGTCCAGATATGGAGCAAAAAGAACTCTATGCTATTCTAGTGAAGAGCAAATTTGTCAAACACTTTTCAGGCTTTGCAGTGTCTCACTTGAAGATTATTTTGAAATGCTATAGAAATCTAACTTTTGTTCATATTGTAAATGCCTCATAGAAATTCCTGTGTACAAAGGAACTTCCATAAAAATATTTATTGGACTATTGTGTGTTACATGAAAATGTTTAAACAATCTAAAATTTCATGAAGAGAGCAATTAAAGCTTATTTACAAGATGAGGTTTTTATAGAAAAAACTAAAACTACATATATCAACAAGTATAAATCTATAAAAAAATCAAAAAAGTATATTACAGAATATTCATACATGTTGATGCCACTTTATATATATTCATATATGTTGATACCATTTATAAACAATTAAAAACCTGTTCATGGGTGAATATATTCTAAAAACATGGAAAAGAATGATATATCCTGATTTAATGGTAGTGGTTATCTCTGAAACGGAGTGCGGAGAATGTTGTCAAGGAGATTATCACAGTGGTCTCAAGTACATATGTAGCATTTTATTTTTCATAAAAACAAGAACTGATATGACACAATATTAAGACTTTTTAAAGTTTGTATGTAAATGACTACTGATTGTATTGACTTGTATGCTTATTTATATACTTTAATGTTCACTATTATTTTAAATTTATAATACATGCAATAATTATAAATTCATATATTTAGTATTTAAAATACATTTGTCTTGCAGAATCTTGAGTAATCACTAAGTTTTTTTTTTTTATTTTACTTTAAGTTCTGGGATACATGTGCAGAACGTACAGGTTTATTTCATAAATATACATGTGCCATGGTGGTCTGCTGCACCCATCAACCCATAGTCTACCTTAAGTATTTCTCCTAATGCTATCCTTCCCCATCCCCCAACCCCTGATAAGCTCCAGTGTGCAATGTTCCCCTTCCTGTGCCCATATGTTCTCATTGTTGAACTCCCACTTATGAATGAGAACATGCGGTGTTTGATCTTCTGTTCCTGTGTTAGTTTGCTAAGAATGATGGTTTCCAGCTTCATCCATGTCCCTGCAAAGGACATGAACTCATTATTTTTTATGGCTGTATAGTATTCCACTGTGTATATGTGCCACATTTTCTTTATCTGATCTGTCATTGATGGGCATTTGGGTTGGTTCCAAGTCTTTGTTATTTTGAATAGTGCTGCAATAAACATACGTGTGCATGTGTCTTTATAGTAGACTGATTTATAATCCTGCTGGGACAAATTTCTACTTCGAGATCCTTGAGGAATAGCCATACTGTCTTCCACAATGATTGAACTAATTTACACTCCCACCAACAGTGTAAAAGCATTCCTATTTCTCCACATCCTCTCCAGCATCTGTTGTTTCCTGACTTTTTAGTGATCGCCATTCTAACTGGCATGAGATGGTATCTCATTGTGGTTTTGATTTGCATTTCTCTAATGACCAGTAATGACGAGTTTTTCTCATACCTTTCTTGGCCTCATAAATGTCATCTTTTGAAAATTGTCTATTCATATCCTTTGCACACTTTTTGATGGGGTTGTTTGTTTTTTTCTTGTAAATTTAAGTTCCTTGTAGATTCTGTCTATTAGCCCTTTGTCAGATAGATATATTGCAAAAATTTTCTCCCATTCTGTAGATTGCCTGTTCACTCTGATGATAGTTTCTTTTGCTCTGCAGAAGCTCTTTAGTTTAATTAGATCCCATTTGTCAATTTTGGCTTTTGTTGCAATTGTTTTTGGTATTTTAGCCATGAAGTCTTTGCCCATGCCTATATCCTGAATGGATTTGTTTCAGTTTTCTTCTCAGGTATCCATGGTTTTAGGTCTTATATTTAAGCCTTTCATCCATCTTGAGTTAATTTTTGTATAAGGTGTAAGGAACGGGTCCAGTTTCAGTTTTCTGCATATGGCTAAGCAGTTTTCTCAGTACCATTTATTAAATAGGGAATCCTTTCCCCATTGCTTGTTTTTGTCAGGTTTGTCAAAGATCAGATGGTTGTAGATGTGTGGTGTTATTTCTGAGGCCTCTGTTCTGTTCCATTGGTCTATATATCTGTTTTGGTAACAGTACCATGCTGTTTTGGTTACTGTAGCCTTGTAGTATAATTTGAAGTCAGGTAGCATGCTGCCTCCAGCTTTGTTCTTTTGGCTTAGAATTTTCTTGGCTATATGGGCTCCTTTTTGGTTCCACATCAAATTTAAAGTAGTTTTTTTCTAGTTCTGTGAAGAAAGTCAATGGTAGCTTAATGGGAATAGCATTGAATCTATCAGTTACTTTGGGCAGTATGGCCATTTTCATGATACTTATTCTTCCTATCCGTGAGCATGGAATGTTTTTCCATTTGTTTGTGTCCTCTCTTATTTCCTTGAGGAGTGATTTGTAGCTGTCCTTGAAGAGTTCCTTCACATCCCTTTTAAGTTGTATTCCTAGGTATTGTAGCAATTTTAGCAATTGTGAATGGGAGTTCATTCATGATTTGGCTCTCTGTTTGTCTATTATTGGTGTATGGGAATGCTTGTGATATTTGCACAATGATTTTGTATCCCGAGATTTTGCTGAAGTTGCTTATCAGCTTTAGATTTTGGGCTAAGACGATGGGATATTCTAAATATACAATCATCTTATCTGCAAACAGAGACAATTTGACTTCCTCTCTTTCTATTTGAATACCTTTATTTCTTTCTCTTGCTTGATTGCCCTGGTCAGAACTTCCAGTATTATTTTCAATAGGAGTGGTGAGAGAGGCCATCTTTGTCTTGTGCCAGTTTTGAAAGGGAATGCTTTCAGATTTTGCCATCCAGTGTGATATTGGCTGTGGATTTGTCATAAATATCTCTTATCATTTTGAGATACCCTCCATCAATACCTAGTTTATTGAGTGTTTTTAGCATGAATGGGTGTTGAATTTTATCGAAGGCTTTTTCTGCATCTATTGAGTTAATCATGTGGTTTTTGTCTTTGGTTCTGTTTATGTTATGGATTATGTTTATCCATTTGTGTATGTTGAAACAACCTTGCATCCCAGGGATGAAGCCGACTTGATTGTGATGGAAAAGCTTTATAATGTGCTGCTGGATTTGGTTTCCCAGTATTTTATTGAGAATTTTTGCATCAATGTTCATCAGGCATATTGGCCTGAAATTTTCTTTGTTTGTTGTGTCACTGACAGATTTTGGTATCAGGATGATGCTGGCCTCATAAAATGAGTTAGGGAGAAGTCCCTCTTTTTCTGTTGTTTGAAATAGTTTCAGATGGAATGGTACCAGCTCCTCTTTGTACCTTTGGTAGAATTCAGCTATGAATCCTTCTGGTCCTGGGCTTGTTTTTGGTTGGCAGGCTATTAATTACTGCCTCAATTTCAGAAATTGTTATTGATTTATTCACGGATTCTACTTCTTTCTGGTTTATTCTTGGGAGGGTGTATGTGTCCAGGAATCTATCCATTTCTTCTAGATTTTCTAGTTTATTTGCATAGAGGTGTTTATAATGTTCTTAGATGGAAGTTTGTATTTCTGTGGGATCAGTGATGATATTCCCTTTATCATTTTTTATTTGTCCATTTTATTATTCTCTCTTTTCTTCTTCATTTTTCTGGCTAGCGGTCTATCTATCTTGTTGATCTTTTCACAAAAACAAGCTCCTGGATTCATTGAATTTTTGGAAGGGTTTTTTGTGTCTCTATCTTCTTCAGTTCTGCTCTGATCTTAGTTATTTCTTGTCTTCTGCTAGCTTTTGAATTTGTTTGTTTTCCCTTCACTAGTTCTTCTAATTGTAATGTTAGGGCATCGATTTTAGATCTTTCCCACTTTCTCAGGTGGGCATTTAGTGCTATAAATTTTTCTGTAAACACTGCTTTAGCTGTGTCCCAGAGATTCTGGTACATTATGTTTTTGTTGTCATTGGTTTCAAAAAACTTATTTATTTCTACCTTAATTTTGTTATTTACCCAGTCAATCAGAAGCAGGTTGTTCAGTTTCCATGTAGTTTTGCTGTTTTCAGTGAGTTTCTTAATCCTGAGTTCTAGTTTGATTGCACTGTGGTCTGAGAGACTGTTTGTTATGATTTCTGTTCTTTTGCATTTGCTGTGGAGTGTTTTAATTCCAATTATGTGGTCAATTTTAGAATAAGTGCTAAGTGTTGCTGAGGAGAATGTATATTCTGTTGATTTAGGATGGAGAGTTCTGTGGATGCCTATTAGGTTTGCTTGGTCCAGAGCTTAGTTTAAGTCCTGAATATCCTTGTTAATTTTCTGTCTCATTGTTCTGTCTAATATTGACAGTGGGGTGTTAAAGTCTCTTACTATTATTGCGTGGGAGTCTAAATCTCTGTGTAGGTCTCTAAGAACTTGTTTTATCTATCTGGGTGCTCCTATATTGGGTGCATACATATTTAGGATGCTTAGCTCTTCCTGTTGCATTGATCCCTTTACTCTTGTGTAATGCCCTTCTTTGTCTTTTTTGATCTTCATTGGTTTAAAGTCTGTTTCATCAGAGACTAGGATGGCAACCTCAGCTTTATTTTTGCTTTTCATTTTCTTGGTAAATACTCCTTCATCCCTTTATTTTGAGGCTATGTTTGTCTTTACACGTGAGATGAGTCTCCTGAATACAGCACACCAATGGGTCTTGACTCTGTATCCAGTTTGCTAGTCTGTGTCTTTTAATTGGGGAGTTTAGCCCATTTACATTTAAGGCTAAGATTGTTATGTGTGAATCTGATTTTGTCATTATAATGCTAGCTGGTTATTTTGCCCATTAGTTGATGCAGTTTCTTCATAGTGTCAATGATCTTTACATTTTGGTATGTTTTTGCAGTGGCTGGTACCAGTTTTTCCTTTCCATATTTAGTGCTTCCTTCATGAGCTCTCGTAAGGCAGGCCTGGTGGTGACAAAATCTCTCAGCATTTGCTTGTCTGTAAAGGATTTTATTTCTCCTTCACTTACAAAGTTTAGTTTGGCTGGATATGAAATTCTGGGTTAAAAATTCTTTTCTGGCTTGTAGGGTTTCTGCAATGAGTTCTGTTGTTAGTGTGGTGGGCTTTCCTTTGTGGGTAACCCAACATTTTTCTGTGGCTGCCCTTAACATTTTTTCCTTCATTTCAACCTTGATGAATCTGATGATTATATGTCTTAGAGTTGCTCTTCTCAAGAACTATCTTTGTCATGTTCTCTGTATTTCCTGAATTCGGTTGTTGGCCTGCCTTGCTAGGTTGGGGAAGTTCCCCTAGATAATGTGCTGAAGAGTGTTTCCCAACTTGGTTCCATTCTCCCCATCACTTTCAGGTACACCAATCAAATGTAGATTTAGTCTTTTCACATAGCTCCATATTTCTTGGAGGCTTTGTTCATTACTTTTCATCCTTTTTTCTCTAATCTTGTCTTCACACTTTATTTCATTAAGTTGATCTTCAATCTCTGATATCCTTTATTCCACTTGACAGATTTGACTATTGATACTTGTGTATGCTTCATGAACTTCTCGTGCTGTGTTTTTCGGCTCAATCAGGTTACTTATCTTCTTCTCTAAACTGGTTATTCTAGTTAGCAGTTCCTGTAACCTTTTATCAAGGTTCTTAGCTTCCTTGCAATGGATTAGAGCATGCTCCTTTAGCTCAGAGGAGCTTGTTATTACTTAACTTCTGAAGCCTACTTCTGTCAATTAGTCAAACTCATTCTTCACCCAGTTTTGTGCCCTTGCTGGCGAGAAGTTGTGATCCTTTGGAGGAGAAGAGGCATTCTGGTTTTTGGAATTTTCAGCATTTTTGCTCTGTTTTTTTCTCATATTTGTGGATTTATCTACCTTTGATCTTTGATGCTGATGATCTTTGGATGGGGTTTTTGCTTGGGTGTCCTTTTTGTTGATGTTGATGTCATTGCTTTCTGTTTCTTAGTTTTCCGTCTAACAGTCAGGGCCCTCTTTTGCAGGTCTGCTGGCGTTTTCTGGAGGCCCACTCTAGATTCTGTTTGCCTGGGTATCACCATTGGAGGCTGCAGAAGAGCAAAGATTGCTGCCTGCTCCTTCCTCTGGAAGTTTCACCCCAGAGGGGCACCTGCCAGATGCCAGCCAGAGCTCTACTGTATGAGGTGTCTGTTGACCCCTGCTGGGAGGTGTCTCCCTGTCAGGAGTCATGGGGATCAGCAACCCCCTTGAGGAGGCAGTCTGTCCCTTAGCAGAGCTTGAGCACTGTGCTGGGAGATCCTCTGCTCTCTTCAGACCTGGCAGGCAAGAATGTTTAAGTCTGCTGAAGCTGTGCCCACAGCAACCCCTTCCCTCAGGTGCTCTGTCCCAGGGAAATAGGAGTTTTATCTGTAAGCCCCTGACTAGGACTGTACCTTTCTTTCAGAGATGCCCTGCCCAGAGGGCTGGAATCTAGAGAGGCAGTGTGGCTACAGCGGCTTTGCTGTGCTGTAGTGGGCTTCGTCTAGTCCAAACTTCCTGGAGACTTTGTTTACACTGTGAGGGGAAAACCACCTACTCAAGCCTCAGTAATGGTGGATGCCCCTCCCCCCACAAAGCTCCAGTGTCCCAGGTCAACTTTGGACTGCTGTGCTGTCAGTGCGAATTTCAAGCCAGTGGATCTTAGCTTGTTTGGTTTCATGGGGGTGGGATCCACTGAGCAAGACCACTTGGCTCCCTGGCTTCAGCCCCCTTTCCAGGGGAGTGAACTGTTCTGTCTTGCTGGCATTCCAGGCAACAATAGGAAAAAAAAAAAAATCCTGCAGCTAGCTCAATGTCTGCCCAAATGGCCGCCCAGCCCCAGTGACATGTAGGCACCCAAGAGAATCTCCTGGTCTGAGGTTGTGAAGACCATGGGAAAAGTGTAGTATTTTAACCTGATAGCACCACCCCTCATGGCTTCTGTTGGCTAGGGGAGGGAGTTCCCTGACTCCTTGAGCTTCCTGGGTGAGGCAATGCCCTACCCTACTTCTACTCGCCCTCTGTGGGCTGCACCCACTGTCTAACCAGTCCCAATGAGATGAATCAGATATCTCAGTTGGAAATGCAATAATCACCTGCCTTCTGCGTTGGTCTCACTGGGAGCTGCAGATCGGAGCTGTTCCTATTAGGTCATCTTGCCCAGGCCCCAAGTTTCTGTTTTTAAAGGGCTGAGAATGTTAGTCAGCAACACATAATAATTAATTAAAATTCCATGATAGAAAGGAAAAAGTTTGAAATCCGATTGCTCTGTCATCAAATACTAACTCTACATTTAACTTATTTATGACATTCATGACATGAGCATTCATAAGTATGCCCATTCATAAGTAAACCACTTTTTTTTATTTATTTGTATTTTTATTTTTTTGAGACAAGAGTTTAGCTCTCTCACCCAGGTTACAGTGTGGTTAGCATGATTATGACTCACTACAGCCTTAATCGCAGGGGCTCAAGTGATCCTCCCACTTCAGCCCCCCACCCCAAGTGGCTGGAAATGCAAGCAAGCACCACCATGCCCAGCTAATTTTTCAATTTTTGGTGGAGACAGGATCTCACTCTGTTGCCAAGGTTGGTCATGAACTCTTGGCTTCAAGCAATGCTCCCTCTTTGGCCTCTCACAGGGCTGCTATTACAGATGTAAGCTACCATGCCTGTCAGATTTTTAGACTAAGGTCTTTTTGTTTTGTTTTAGAGATAGATGGAGTCTTGCTGTGTCGCTCAGGTTGGAGTGCAGTGGCCCAATCATAGCTCACCACAGCCTCGAACTACCAGGCTCAAGTGATCCTCCTGACTTAGCCTCCTGAGTAGCTGGGACTACAGGCATGTGCCATTGTGCCTGAGTAAAGCCACATTAAAAAAATGTCTTCAGTAGAGCCCCCATAATGCTAATAAAACAGGGATAAGAAGATAACAGTATATTGTCAATGAAAAATCAGAGATTTCAGGATTAAGATGTTTGTCTATGCAAGATCTTTATATCAAGGATAGATTCATGTTTTGTATCATTTCTTAAGCATTTAATTCATTTAAAAATATGTACTAAGTGCTATTATACCTCTCTGGACTTTTGCAGGCAAGATATATTGAAGAAATATTATTCTTTATTTATAATGTAGGATTAATCTATCATATCTGATACAAGTAAAATTAACAAAGCAGCAATAAAGTGATAGAGAAAACACTTGTTTTAATAGTCAATGAGCTAGTTAAATCAGGAATCTTGATTCTCTGTGCCAGCCCTGATCACTTCACAGAACATAAGTGAGAAGGAATTAGCATTACAGTTTTTAAGACATTGTATTTTTGTGACTTTTCTTTATAGTGTGTTAACCTCAATTCTACCTAATAAAATATTTGGATTCAAGCAGTGAAATGCTATCATAAAATAGCCCAAGAAAGGCATTTTTTATCAGTTGAGAAAGAAACAGCAAATACACAGATGCTATAAATTAGAAAGCTGTAACTTTTAGTAGTCTATGATAATATTTGGTAGTATTATCACCTACTTTACTTTGGAAAACATACCACATGCAAACTGAGTTTAGCTTTGGGGCACTATTGAAGGTCAGAATTTTGGCATATAAGGCTACCTCCTGTTTCTTTTAATAAAGCCTGATTGAATTCCTCATTAACAAGCTGAAATGAATGTGAGTTTATTTCTGTCAAGAAAACATTTTTCTTTCTAGTTCCCCAAATCTAAATTATCTGATGATCTATTCATTTGAGTCTTCATAAGATTAAAAAAAGCTAATTATTTCTGCATTTCAAACTGAAGATCTTCTATGATGTGGCTTTAAAAATTAAGCCTCATCAAAAGATAAGCCAATGGATGCAAAACTTTCTCAAAAATGTCAGAATAAATGCTTTCTTTTAGGCACTATGAAACGCTTCAGAGAATAAGATCAGATTAACAATCTTTCATTTATAACTAAAGTTCTTTAAAGAAAAGTTCTCAATATAGCCTCCATTAAACTGACAGAAGAAAGATGAGATCACAGAATGCTATAAATACAAGATCAGAGTTTTTGAAACTAAGATGTATGTCTATACATGATCTTTGGCTATGTCAGAGGTGAATACAAGTTTTGTGAGGAGTCAAATGTATGCAGTATGTAGCTAATAGGCTGCTGAAAAGAATAATACAAAATTATGAACACAAAATTAGGTTCAGAGTCTTGTATGGAGTCTGTGGAAGCGAGGGGTCTTGACACTTAAACTTTATTAGCTTCATGGTAAATTCTTTCCTTGAAGCAGTTAATTTTGCATGGAGTTCATTATAAGTAAATAAGTAAACAGTGCATCTCAAATAACTATTAAACAGAGGTTACAACAACCTGTGATAGTATGAAAATAAGGCCAAAATCTGTACAGCTGCAGGACACTTTGAAGTACGTCAGAGGACAATGGATAAGGAGTACATTAAAATCTCCCACTATAACTGTAGGCTTGCTTCCTTTTTGCTACTAGTTACTCTAATTTTTTATTTATATATTGTAAGATTATCATATTAGGGTCATGCAAATTGATATTTTTACCTTTTAATTGCATTAGCTTTTTGCTTCATGATAATGTTATTTTTACCCATTTTCTCTTTTAAGTATTGCTCTGTCTTTGTCTCTTCTTATTCTGGGATTCTAATTACGCATTTCTTAAAACCCCTCACTGTATCCCCATGTCTTTTACAGTCTCTTTTATATATATATATTTTGTTTCTTTACATTTTATTTTACATAATCTCTTCTTTCTCTAGTGAACTAATTATTCAGATGTATTGGATTTTTTGGTAAGTTAATTTACTGAATTTTTGATTTTTTCAATATTTTGTTGTTTTGGAGATAATTTTTGTTTAGTTCTTTGCTTGCAGTTTCTACTTTTTTGCCAAATTTGCATGTTTTCTGAAACATACGAGTATACTTATTTTAACAACTGATTCTAATAACTTCATGTCTGAATTTCTTGTGGCACTGATTGTATTTTTTTCTTAAATTTCAATCATCTGATGTTGACTCCTTGTGATTGTATTTATTTTTACTTGTGTGCTGAAACTTATATAAAATTAATTGTAGAAATAATGTCAGACTTTTAATGAAAGTGTCTTCTTTATGTCATGAGGTATGTTTGTTGCTGTCTGCAGTCCCTGATTGGGCTGGTCTATATTCAACTTACCTTTCTTAAACAATGTAGCCCTCTGACGTCCAATCAAAAGTATTTTATCCTGATTCTGTCCCTTTCCTGCTGACAATGACTAAAAAGGCTGGAAAAGAACTAGAAAATGTCAAGACAGCTACTGAGGGAATGAATAATAATGAGATCAGTATTCAGAATTAAGAAAAAAAAATTTAAACGACAGTGAAGTGTTTTTATGGAGTTTGGGCCAGTTTTCTCTTAGGATTCAATTCTACATGGCACGGCAAAACTGAGGAGCGGAATAGCATTTTTACGATTTACACATAATTTAAAATATTTTAATTTGACTCCATATTACAGTGTGGGCAAGTAAAGAAACCTAATCCATTTTAAGAATAAGTCTGCAGGTGGCAATTTTATAGCCCTTTCGTAACACATAAAGACAGGAAACAACGGTAACCATATTGAGACCATATGTCAGCAGGAAGGACATGAGCTCATAGTTATGAGTCCACTTTAATATGAAATCTTAACATGCAAATTGTCTTTCTGTTATTTATCCTTGAAGTAGACAGATCACTGTCTAACATATACTCTTCTACAAATACAAGGACAAAGAAGTAGCACACATATTCTGATTTGCTGTTTTTTTATTCAAGTTGTCTCAGATAACATAGTGAGAATGATTTGCTACATTAAATTATTCTGCTTTTGCTATTTGGTATGTGTGTTTTAGCATTGAATCCTGGCAATAGTGATTACAAAGGAACTTTATTCTGTTTGAAAAAATGTTTATTAAACTGTTGATTTTTATTACAGTAAATCTGCTTTTTGATCCCAACCTATTAAGCTCTGATTTATCTTTCACCCTTTAAACAATAACACTTATTTGAAGCACCATTTTCCTCCTCAGAGCTCAAATTAACTTTTATTCCACAAATGATGGTGATTTTTAAAAATTTTAGTGAAATTTTATTTCTAAATGTATTTGATAGTAAAACACTCACAGTAAACACAATGTCAGACAACATGTCTGCATAAGCAAACAGGTTAATACATGTTACCTTCTTTAACTCAGCTATATAAAGATAAGGATGTGTCCTAATCATGGTACCAATATGTCACTGAAAAATCAAAACCCGTTAGTATGTAGTTGATTTTGGTATATACACAGGCATTTGCCTTCTAGTTCTGGACATGTGGTAATGAAATGGGAAATGTTCCCTTGTCCCTCTAGCAGGGCATGCGATGGGGCTGTGGCTGGCTTCTTCATTCAGTGCCCCGATGCTCACACCTCGAGGGGGAGCATTCAGATGGGCAGACTGTGGGGCTCTGACCCCATAGCAGCGGCTAGGGATGAATGTTTACAGCTGCAGTACCCGTGGTTGTGTGTTACAGTGTCTTATTTCAGTTTAGCTTCTTCAGTTTTAGTTTAGGTGGCTTGTGTTAGTTTAATTAGACCCCTTGCCTAATCGCAAGGACAGGAGACTTTCTGTATCCCACGGTTTCTTGCCTTGGTGTACCAAAAGAATCGGATCACACGTGGGCTTGGAGAATGAGTTCAAGGTTCTATTGAGTAGTGGTAGCTCTCAGCAGATGGATAGAGAACCAAACCAGAAAGGGGATGGAGTGGAAGGTGGTTTTCACCTGGAGTCGGGCTGACCAGCAGCTGGGCTCTCCTCCCACTACCCTGGCCAACAACTCTGTGTCATTCTGCCGGTCAGCCTGCCAGAATCTGCTGGTGTCTCAGTGTGTTCTGCCAGCATGCTCCTCTCGACATCCAGTTGCTTGTGTTTTCCTCTGCTGGTGTGTTCCTCTCGATGTCTAGCTGCTTGTGTCTCTGCCTGCTAGAGTCTCAGGGTTTTTATAGGCACAGAGTGGGAGTGTGGCAGGTCAGGGTGGTCTTAGAAAATGCAACATTTGAGCACAAAAACGGGAGTGCCTGTCCTCACCTAGGTATGTGGGCACAGGCCCAGGAGTGGAGATCTCTCCAGGGACCCCACTCTTCTCCTCCCAGCACTTCCCTACCCCTTTCTAGTATCAGTAATATTGTTCCTTCCCACCCCTGTGAAATTGGGTATTGCCCTGTGGTGTTTTAGATGCTGAAGAATTTGATGGAATGGTTATTGTCATTTCAGAGCAAAAGCTTTAAAGGATGTTATACTATGTGTTATAATGCTTTCCCCACCAAAATGATAGTGTTAGGATGCATGAGGATGGCCTGCATCAGCCTGGATCTTTAAAGGACAATCGCAAGCATTTTCCCCAAATCCATTGCAGACATATCACATGGATAAGAAATAAACATTACTTATTTTAAGACAGTTATTTTAGAATTGTCGTAACTGCAGCAAATCTAGTCTATTTTGAATTATGTATTACCAAAGGCTCCCCATCTTCCACATCTAAAAGCATGTAGCTATAGATCTAGTTTATTTGGGAACTATAATATTATTCTTCAACAGTTTTCTTTCATATGACCACAAATTTTTAAAGATGCATGAACACACAAAAGTCATATTTATGTATTTTAATCCAGCCTGAACAGTAATACTAATAGAATTTACTATAATGAAGACCAATGAAGAAGCAAAATAACGGTATGTGAACAAGAGTTAGTTCTGAATTGGAGAAAATGAAAGTTAGGTATGATTTTAGAATTATGTATTTATAATAGCTTAAAGCTCAGACATACCACAGATATCAGTTTTTTTCCTCTTCTTTATTTTGTAAATTGACACATTGGATCCATTGAGTTTACTAAAGATATATCAGGAGTGGGAGAGCTAGATCTAGAACTGTGTTTTCAGTATTCCCAATCCAGTGCCCTCTTCAGACAGAAAAGTGAAGTCAGTTTAACTGCTTTTAACATTTAACTGCTTGGTTTTTTAATGGGCCTTAATTTACTCAAAATATGTGAGTAGATGAAAGAATTGAAATCATTTTCTATAACTTTCTCTCATTAGTTCCAGGTCATTCTAAATGACAAATGTTTTATATGAGAAAAAAAGTAAGTCCTGTCTGAATTTTACACCCAATGGAGGCCGAACAAAACCATTACCGCCTAAAACATACATAAGTAATGGATAAATTATGAAAAGAGAAGTGTAGGTGAGCTCAAGAGCAAGAACATGATCTGCCATAAACAAAGAGGTATCCCAAAGGCAGAGTAAGAAATAGGGGCTATCAAGATTGCAAGTCTCAAGCCCCACAGATGGTTAAGTAGCAGGACGTTATTCTCTACATAAAGCAAAGAAAACTGTCAGGATAAAGCTATCTCTCATTCATGAATTAGGATTAGAAAAATTCTATTCATCATCCTAGAGATATATTCTAGAAATTGGTTGCCCATTCTGGATGTAAATGGAATAACACACAAGATTTATGAAGCCTTAGACGCTATTCTGCATGAGTGTGGTAACAAAATTTGCTGTGTGCATGTGTACTGAGACTCCAGGTTAAGGAACAAACCCCAAAATTGGTCTTGACCCAATAAATGACACACAGTACAGACTGAGATGAATGGGAAATTACCCCACAATATTTTATTTACAAACAAGATCACGTGAATGACTTTTATGTCTGTTACCAAAACACCAGGGGTTTGGTCTAGGTCCTGCTCCTCACCACACAGAAAGCCAATCACTGAGACAATGAATATTCCCAGGAAAGAAGGTTTTAATCCAGTGCTGTCGCCGACGAGATCAATCTCAAATCCATCTCCCTGACTGACTTAAGTTAAGGGTTTTTACAGCAAGGAAAGAATGCAGCTGTGTGAGGAAACAGGAACTAGGGAAGGGTGAGGAAGAATAGTTGGTTAACAACAAGCAGGTGGTCAGTTAGGAAAATATGAACTGAGAGGAGTAAGGAAGCAATCATGACAAATGAGAGTCCTGGTATCTCATTGTCTGGGTGCTGTGATATAGTGAGTTTTATTTCTGTGATACTTTTGAAGAGGCTGAGGGTCTTCTGATAAAGGAACTCAGATAAAACAAATGAAAGTTTCAAGCCTTAAGACCAGAAAGATCAATTTCTATGTTTATCAAAAAAAAATGTCAATGGGACTATTGGATTGGTTTCAGATCTTGCTAATGTTCTGTTAAACACACACATGGACATTCATACACATACATACATACAGATATGAGTAAATCCTCTAAGGTTCCATTTAGTCAGTGGATAAAAGAAGAAGCACAATTATACTAGAGTAAATGAAAATAATATTAAAAATACAGAGGGCATTATAAAACTAGGTTAAGTTTTTTTAAAGACTAGAGCAAATAGAATGCAAAAAATAAATCATTAAAAGATAATGACAATAACAGATGATTAATAGATAATATTAATAAATAATAATAAAACTACAAATCATCTAGACAGAAAATTAAATGTGTGAAAATTAAAATAATCATTAAAATAAGATAAACATTCAATAAATAGGTTAAAATAGACTAGTAATACATAAAAAGAAAAGTAAGAAATTGAAAATCATATCTAATTCTGAGGAATCTGTGTCCTGACCAAAAAAACCACGTGTGATTTTTCAGGCTGAATTATGGCTAATTACAAAGGCTTGATGCACAGTCAACACTGACAGTCTCAGAGGGGAGCTGCAGTCAAGGACTCAGGCTTCTCTTGCCAGCCATGCTGTTATACACATTTACATTCCTAGCCAGGCACCTTTATCTCTAGGTCTCTTTACCTGAGGCTTTGCCACCACTGATAAGACCTTTCTATGGAAGAGGAAGAGTAGAACCTTTAAGACACTGTTTCCCAATCTTACATAGTACTCAGAGCTTTCTACTCCTAGCCCTTCCCCCCATTTTTCTTGCCCTTATCCCCCCTCCCCACCCTATAACCCACAAAACTTCAGGAGCCTTTTGTTCAAGGTTCTCGTGGCAGTGGGATGAACCTCACATCTGTGTTGGAGGGTCAAGCTTCACTTGACCCTCACTTGACCCTCCACTGGTATGCTGTTCGGTGGGGGAAAAATAAAACAAGGAAGAGTCTAAATTTTCTCTGGTTTAGCCTCTTGCTTATACTATTATAATAAGTAATTAAAAACTTTACCATTACTTCCATTTTTAATCTGCTAATCTGACACCTGGCAGCTCAGCTATCCCTCTCCAGGTGGTTCAACTCCTGTCAAAGTCAATAGGACAAGGTGCTACATAATAATGTATTAAAATGACAAATACAAAAAAATTAAGAGATGTGAAGGGTGAGATAAAAAAAATCATACATCTAATGAGTCTTACGAGGTAGCACTAGAGTGATAAATAACAACAAATACTAGTTATTTGAAAAGGCAAATAAATATATCATTGGCAAAACTGAGCAGAATTTTAAAGAGTAAAAAATAAATGATGAAAATATAAGAAAGGACAGCAGTAGATTATTTATAGTATTAAAAAGTTTTCAAAACTAAGAATAATTTTATGCCAATAATTTTGACAATATAGATGAAAGAGATGCAGAATATCTAAGTTATTCATAATAACCCAAATGATAGAAATAGATAAATGGCCTAAGCAAAATTTTAAGATGGCCCCACACTCATTGGTGTGGAAGTCCTCAAGGGAGTCCTTTTAAAGAGTATTTAGAGTACAGAGGTGAAAGAAGTCACAGAGACTTAAAGCTGCAGCAGCTTCTCTTGTTAACCTTGAAGAAGCAAACAGCCTTGTAAAGAGGTGCAGAATCCTGTGGGCAGCTTCTGAAGGGTGAGGATAGTCCTCCATTGACAACCAGTCAAAAAATTGTAACCTCAGTCCTACAACCTCAAGAAACTAAATTTTACTAACAGCTTTAATGAGGTTGAAAGAAGACTTCAAGCCTCTGGAGATGCTACTGTTCTGGCCAACACTTGATTTTAGGCTGGTGTGGGACCCAGCTAACCCCTACCTGAATTCCTGACCCACAGAAATGAACATAAAAAATGGGGGATATTTTCCATTACTTAACTTCATGGTAATTTGTTATGGATTAAGAGAAAACCAATAAAATAAACAACTCACCAATTCATTCTATAAAGTTACAACCTTGTTAAAAATATGTAAATATTTTGAAGGAAAAAGAAATGAAAGATAAATATATGACAATAATTTAAAATATTAGCAAAGTAGCAATACAAGAGGGCCTCTCTCAAGAAACATATGTTTAATAGTATATATAAAAGAGTCATATATACAAAACATTTATACTAATAAATCTTTAAAAATATTTGCCTTCCATGTAATCATTTATATTTTTATTTTAGGGTAAATGAGTTCCCAAAGTGCAAATTATGTCAATTTAACATAAAGACAATTTTGCCAATTATTTTTAAAGTTAGTATTCTTTTGTTTCTTAGTCAAAACTTCCAATAATGTTGTGCAATATTTTTAATTCACAGTTCTACCCCATCTATAATTTAATACTGATTAAGTATTTACATATGTAATATGTTTTTTATCAATTGTTGGAAAAAAATAATAAAATATTTTCTCATTTTAAAATAATTTATTGATAAATTAAGTAACAACTAAGGTATGTGCCAATCATTGCCTTATACTCCTTTAAACAACAAATGTAATCTCTAAACAAAAAAAACTTAAGTAAAACATTGTAACAAATTTAATATTTACAACTGTTTTATGACATTGGAGTATTATCTTCACAAAGAGATGAGTATCTTTTCCAGTGTTGTGTAGCTGCTAAGTGGTAGAGCTGGGATTTGAACTAAAGCACTCAGATTTTAATACGACATCATTAATCATTATGTTACTGCTCTATGCTAAAAATAGTAGGGTAGAGAAAAAGGTAACTCTTATCTATATCTCCATATATTAGTATTGGAAAGATGAGTCACAATGATAAGTATTAACACATTTTTCAGTGCAGGAGTTTATTTAAAAATAATCTGTAGGGTAACAGTTTTCAAATGGAATCAACAAAATCAAAACATATGTGACAGACTTGAAGAAAATATTACCAAAATATGAATAGAGATGTGAATAATTCATAAGTTCTAGACAAGCAAAACAAGCACAATAAATCGATACACAAAAAGATGAACATTTCACGGAAAAGAAATGTTAGAGGAGAAATAAATGTATACAATTATTTTTATCCTAGCTGGGAGAGAAGTGACAGTTAATACAATAAGATAAATCTTACAACTATCATATTGTAAAAAATAAAACAAAATTTTCTAAGATCCAGGATTGTTGAAGGTATAGAAAAAATAATAATTTTATATTTTGTTTATCTGACAGTGAATTGAACCCGCCTTTTTCAAACAGAGTTTAGCATTCTTTAAAAATAATTTCTGGGAAGTGGCTAAGATAGCCGACTGAAAGCAGCTAGCGTGCATGGCTCTCACGGAGAGAGACGAAAGGGGCAAGGGAACACAGCACCTTCAACTGAAACATCCATATACTTGCGTTAGGACTAATCAAGAAAACAACTTGACCCATGGAGAATGGAGAAAAGCAAGGCAGGATGATCATCCACCAGGCAGCAATACGGAACCAAGGGGACCTCCCCTGCCCTAGGAAGTGGTGAGTGAATGTGCAACCCTGGGAACCCACACTAGTCCCACTGATCTTTGCAACTCTCGGGTCAGGAGCCCGCCGACATGAACCCACTCCACTAAGGCCTTCAATCTGAGTGGAGTCTTGGCAGAACAGCCACTCAGGCACACGTAGAGACCCAGGAGCTTTAGATACTCTGGCTGTCTGGCAAAAGTAGCTGCAACTCCAGCAAAGTGGGAGTTTAGACCCCGTGCATACCCCTAGAAAAGAGTTTGAATTTAGGGGGATGAGCAGTGATAGTTTGCAGGCCCCGCTTCCACGGTGCCTCACAGGATAAGACTTAAAATTCCAGCCAGGCACTGGTAGCAGCATTGCACCTCCCTGGGACATGGCTAGACTAACTTTTTAAGTGGGTCCTCAATCTTGTTCCTACTGACTGGGTGAGAATTCTGAACAGGGGTGTTTAGCCAGCATTCTGGCTGGCAACAGGCCTGTACTTTCCTGGGACAGAGCTGCCAGAGGGAGGTGCAGGCTGCCATCTTTGCTGTTTGGCAGCCTTCACTGGTGTTACTTCCAGGTACTGGAAAATCCGAGTTGACTAGGGACTGAAGTGGACCCCCAGCATACTGCAGCTGCCCTACAGAAAAGTGGACAGAATTTTAAATGGGTGCCCATTCCCATATTTCCCAACTGAATAGTTCCTCCAGGCCTGAGCCTCTAGCCACCCCCTACTAAAGCTACTGAGCCAGTAGCAGCTCAGCAACTCCCTGGACAGACCCTCCAGGGGCAACTGAAAGACACTCTAATGCTGCCTCTACAATTGAACTGCCCTTGCCACCTTTTGACTAATGAAGGAGCAAATACCCTGAGTGCCTTATCCACACTTCCAACAAGCTGCAGTCAACCCAAGGAGAGGAAGACAGTCTGTCTCCCATGGGTCCCACATATCCCCCACTGCTTATCACCAGACAGGGAACCCCTAGCTTGCTTTTACAGCACAGACCCTACATCCAGGGATAATTGCACTAAGCAGTTGCTAACTCACATCTCTCTGGTGTGGAGCAACCAATAGACAAGCAAAGTGGGTTAGCAGCAAGCCAGCTGATGTGGAGCCCACAGAGTTTGGTGCAGGAGCATCTGTAGCAGAGCATGTCCAGGGCCAGCCATCTTTCTAAGCCCGACTTGCTCCCATAAGAGACTTAGCCCTAGGAAATTGTCAGACCTGATCTCTGCAGGGCAGTCTTGCACATCAGATGGGACTGGTCAGACCTGAGCACTCCTTGGTGTGCTGGCCTCTCCTGGGAACCCAGCCTAGTCTCATGCGCTTACAGGGCAGTTGTGGGTTCCCTGAGGGCCCATACCATAGCTTCTGTGCTGGTGCATTGTGCCTGACTGGTGGAGATCTCCACTGAGGCGGCTCCTACACTCACACACCAGCCCACATATTTTCTCCCCATACTGCAGCTTCCCCCATGTGCAGCAACTCTGCACATCAATTTGCTGGTACATGTCTGCACAGAAAATTTTTGCTTCACTTGCCAGCACACAGGAGTGCAGCACATCCCCTACCCCCACTGACCACCATTGCAGACTGACCCTTGGTGGGTTCAGAGTCAGCAAGCCCCACATCTGCCAGCACCCCGCTCTTGCACTAACGCTGTGCAAAGAACAGGAGATCTTCCCACACCCTGAGTGATGGCTTCTGCCTGCAGGGCACAGAGAAGGCACCTAGACCTGAGCTGGCCAGCAGCCTGCTCCAAATAATGAAATTAAGGCAAAAATTCACGAAGTTATTTGACACTAATGAGAACAAAACTACAACATACTAGAATCTCTGGGACACAGCCGAGGCAGCATTAAGAGGGAAATTTATAGCACTAAATGCCCACAAAAAGTTAAAAAGATCTCAAGTTAACAACCTAACATCACATCTGAAAGAATGAGAGAACCAAGAGCAAACAAATTGCAAAGCCAGCAGAAGACAAAAGAATACCCAAAATCAGAGCTAAATTGAAGAAGACTGAGACACAACATATCATTCAAATTCAGGAGCTGTTTTTTGAAAAAATTAATAAAATGGGTAGTTTGCTAGGTAGACTAATAAGTAAGAAAATAGAGAAGATTCAAATAAACAGAATCAAAAATGACAAGGAAGATATTACCACTCACCTCAAAGAAATACAAACAACCATCAGAGAACATTATGAATAATATTATGAATATTATTTCCAGTTTATATTATGCACATAAACCAAAAAAAATCTAGAAGATGTGATAAATTCTTGGACACATACACCCTCCCAAGACTGAACCAGGAAGAATTTGAATCCCTAACCAGACCAATAAAGAGCTCTGAAATTTAGTCAGTCATAAATAGCCTACCAAGAAAGAAAAAGCACAGAACCAAATGGATTCATAGCTGAATTATAACAGATGCACAAAGAAGAGCTGGTTCCATTCCTACTGAAACTTTTCAAAAAAAAATTTAAGAGGAAGGACTCCTCCCTTACACATTTTATGAGGCCAGCGTCATTTTGATACCAAAACCTGGCAGAGATATAACAAGAAGAGAAAACTTCAGGCCAACATGTTTGATGAACATCAATACAAAAATCTTCTGTAAAATACTGGCAAAATGAATCCAGAAGCACATCAAAAAGCTTATCCACCACAATCAAGTAGGCTTCATCCCCAGGATGCAAGGTTGGTTCAACATATGCTAATCAATAAATGTGATTCATCACATAAATATAACTAAAAAGAAAATATTACATGATTATCTCAATAGGTGCAGAAAAAGCTTTAAATAAAATTCAACATATCTTCATGTGAAAAACTCTGAATAAACTAGGTAATGAAGAAACATACCTCAAATAATAAGAGCCATATGTGACAAACCCACAGCCAATATTATGCTGAATGGGCAAAAGCTGGAAGCATTCCCCTTGACAACTGGCACAAAAAAAAGAGTGTTCTTTCTCACCACTCCTATTCAACATAGTATTGGAAGTTCTGGCAATAGAAAGAAATAAAGAACATCCAAATAGGAAGAGAGGAAGTCAAACTATATTTGTTTGCAGATGGCATAATCCTACATCTAGAAAACCATCACATAGTCTCAGCCTAAAAGCTTCGTAAGCTGATAAACAACTTCAGGAAAGTTTCAGGATACAAAATCAATGTGCAAAAGTCACTAGTATTTCTATACACCAAATAAAGTCAAGCTGAGAGCCAAACCAGGAAGAAACTCATTCACTATTACCACAAAAAAATGAAATACCTAGGAATACAGCTAACTAGATAGGTAAAAGATCTCTACAAGAAGAACATCAAACCATGCTCAAAGAAAGCAGGGATGACAAAAACAAGTAAAAAACATCCATTCTCATGGATGGGAAGAATAAATTTCATGAAAATGGCCATATTGCAACAAGTAATTTATAGATTCAGTGCGATTTCTATTAGACTACCATTGACATTCTTCACAAAACTAGAGAAAACTATTTTAAAATCCATGTGGAACCAAAAGAGAGCCTGAATAGCCAAGACAATCCTAAGCAAAAAGAACAAAGCTGGAGGCATTATACTACCTGACTTCAAACTATACTACAAGGGTACAGTAACCAAAACAGCATGGTACTAGTACAAGAACAGATACATAGACCAATGCAACATAATAAAGAACCCAGAAATAAGAACACACACCTACAACCATTTGATCTTTGACAAACCTGCAAAAAACAAGCAATGGGGAAAGAATTCCCTATTTAATAAATGGTGCTGTGATAACTGGCTAGACATATGCAGAAGATTAAAACTGGACTCCTTCTTTACAATCTATGCAGAAATTAACTCAGGATGGATTAAAGATTTAAATGCAAAAGCCAAAATTATAAAAACCCTGAAAGACAACCTAGGCAATACCATTCAGAACATAGGCATGGTCAGAAGTTTCATGATGAAGATGCCAGAGCAATTGCAAAAAAAGAAAAAATTGACAGATGCGATATAACTAAACTTAAGAGCTTCTGCACAGCAAAAGAAACTATCAACAGAGTGCACAGACAACCTACAGAATAGGAGAAAATTTTTGCAAACTGTGCATCAGACAAAGGTCTAATATCCAGCATCTATAAGGAACTCAAACAAACTTACAAGAAAAAAAAAACCCTATTTAAAAGTGGGCAAAGGATATAAACAGACACTTCAAGAGTAGACATACATGTGGCCAATAATCACATGAAAACAAGTTCAACATCACTGGTCATTAGAGAAATGCAAATTAAAACCATAATGAGATACAATCTCACACCAGTCAGAATGGCTATTAATAAAAAGTAAAACAACAACAACAACAACAACAAAACAGAGCTGGCGAGGTTGTGGAGAAAAAGGAATGTTTATACACTGCTTTGGGAAATGTAAATTATTTCAATTATTGTGAAACACAGAGTGGCGATTCCTCAAACACATAAAGACAGAAAAACCTTTATGCCAGACAGAAATACTTCAAAGACATAAAGACAGAAATATTTATTTGACCCAGAACCCCCATTACTGGGTATAGACCCAAGGGAATATAAATCATTCTATTATAAAAATGCATGCATGTGTATGTTTGTGCAACACTATTCACAATAGCAAAGAAAATGGATCAACCTAAATGCCCATCAATGGTAGACTGCATTAAGAAAACGTTGTACATACATACCATGGAATCCTATGCAGCCAATAAAAAGAATCAGATCATTTACTTTGGAGGGACAGTTGGAGCTGGAGGCCATTATCTTTAGCAAACTAAGGAATAGAATACCAAATACCACATGTGCTCACTTATAAATGAGCGCTAAATGTGAGAGAACACGTGGGCACATAGATGGGAAAACACTCTGGGGCCTATGGGAGGGTAAAAGGTGGGAGGGGGAGAGGATCATGAAAAACAACTGATGAGTACTAGGCTTAATACCTGGGTGGTGAAATAATCTGCACAACAGACCCTCATGACACAAGTTTACCTGTGTAACAAACCTGCACATGTACCCCTCAACTTAAATAAATGTTAAAAAAAAAAAAAGTAAACTCAACTGTAAAAAAATTAAAATTAAAAAAAAGTGTAAATGTGATTGCCTTTTGACTTTTAAAATGATGCATGCCAATGAAAATAAACGTTATTTTCAAGGCTAGGATGTTAATGTCCTAAGATTATCAAGTTGCAACCTACTTCTAAGAGATCACTGAAGAAAGTATAAAATGATATACAGTTATTTTTAAAAGTTGTCAAATAAGTGGTATGGTTAGCTCCAAGAGTTCTAAAGCAAACATAAAAATACATTTTTACATCAAATATATTTATTTCTATCTGCACATACTTAAAATTTAATGTACTAGCAACCATTGTATATCAAATTTGAAAGTTTACTAATTTACATGTGGACTAACATGAGAAAAATTTTATTTTAAAAAAAGTCAGGAAAAGAAGAATTGAATGGGAGGAAGGGAAGATGAGAATTTAAAAAGACTACCAAGGTCCACTTGGTGCAGAGCTGAGTTCAATTCCTGGGTATCCTTGTTAACTTTCTGTCTCGTTGATCTGTCTAATGTTGACAGTGGGGTGTTAAAGTCTCCCATTATTGTTGTGTGGGAGTCTAAGTCTCTTTGTAGGTCACTCAGGACTTGTTTTATGAATCTGGGTGCTCCTGTATTAGGTGCATATATATTTAGGATAGTTAGCTCTTCTTGTTGAATTGATCCCTTTACCATTATGTAATGGCCTTCTTTGTCTCTTTTGATCTTTGTTGGTTTAAAGTCTGTTTTATCAGAGACTAGGATTGCAACCCCTGCCTTTTTTTGTTTTCTATTTGCTTGGTAGATCTTCCTCCATCCTTTTATTTTGAGCCTATATGTGTCTCTGCACGTGAGATGGGTTTCCTGAATACAGCACACTGATGGGTCTTGACTCTTTATCCAATTTGCCAGTCTGTGTCTTTTAATTGGAGCATTTAGTCCATTTACATTTAAAGTTAATATTGTTATGTGTGAATTTGATCCTGTTATTATGATGTTAGCTGGCTATTTTGCTCCTTAGTTGATGCAGTTTCTTCCTAGCCTCGATGGTCTTTACAATTTGGCATGATTTTGCAGTGGCTGGTACCAGTTGTTCCTTTCCGTGTTTAGGGCTTCCTTCAGGAGCTCTTTTAGGGCAGACCTGGTGGTGACAAAATCTCTCAGCATTTGCTTGTCTGTAAAGGATTTTATTTCTCCTTCACTTATGAAGCTTAATTTGGCTGGATATGAAATTCTGGGTTGAAAATTCTTTTCTGTAAGAATGTTGAATATTGGCCCCCACTCTCTTCTGGCTTGTAGAGTTTCTGCCGAGAGATCCGCTGGTAGTCTGTTTGGCTTCCCTTTGTTGGTAACCTGACCTTTCTCTCTGGCTGCCCTTAACATTTTTTCCTTCATATCAACTTTGGTGAATCTGATAATTATGTGTCTTGGAGTTTCTCTACTCCAGGAGTATCTTTGTGGCATTCTCTGTATTTCCTGAATCTGAATGTTGGCCTGCCTTGCTAGATTGGGGAAGTTCTCCTGGATAATATCCTTCAGAGTGTTTTCCAACTTGGTTCCATTCTCCCCATCACTTTCAGGTACACCAATCAGACGTCGATTTGGTCTTTTCACATAGTCCCATATTTCTTGGAGGCTTTGTTCCTTTCTTTTTATTCTTTTTTCTCTAAAGTTCCCTTCTCACTTCATTTCATTCATTTCATCTTTCATCACTGATACCCTTTCTTCTGGTTGATCGCATCAGCTCCTGAGTCTTCTGCATTCTTCACATAGTTCTCGAGCCTTGGCTTTCAGCTCCATCAGCTCCTTTAAGCACTTCTGTGTATTGGTTATTCTAGTTATACATTCATCTAAATTTTTTTCAAAGTTTTCAACTTCTTTGCCTTTGGTTTGAATTTCCTCCTGTAGCTCGGAGTAGTTTGATCGTCTGAAGCCTTCTTCTCTCATCTCGTCAAAGTCATTCTCCATCCAGCTTTGTTCCATTGCTGGTGAGGAGCTGCGTTCCTTTGGAGGAGGAGAGGCTACAGACATCTACAGAACTCTCCACCCCAAATCAACAGAATATACATTTTTTTCAGCACCACACCATACCTATTCCAAAATTGACCACATAGTTGGAAGTAAAGCTCTCCTCAGAAAATATAAAAGATCAGAAATTATAACAAACTGTCTCTCAGACCACAGTGCAATCAAACTAGAACTCAGGATTAAGAAACTCACTCAAAACCGCTCAACTACATGGAAACTGAACAACCAGCTCCTGAATGATTACTGGGTACATAATGAAATAAAGGCAGATATAGAGATGTTCTTTGAAACCAATGAGAACAAAGACACAACATACCAGAATCGTTGGGACACATTCAAAGCAGTGTGTAGAGGGAAATTTATAGCACTAAATGCCCACAAGAGAAAGCAGGAAAGATCCAAAATTGACACCCTAACATCACAATTAAAAGAACTAGAAAAGCAAGAGGAAACACATTCAAAAGCTAGCAGAAGGCAAGAAATAACTAAAATCAGAGCAGAAATGAAGGAAATAGAGACACACAAAACCCTTCAAAAAAGTAATGAATCCAGGAGCTGGTTTTTTGAAAGGATCAACAAAATTGATAGACCGCTAGCAAGACTAATAAAGAAGAAAAGAGAGAAGAATCAAATAGACTCAATAAAAAATGATAAAGGGGATATCACCACCGATCCCACAGAAATACAAACTACCATCAGAGAATACTACAAAGACCTCTATGCAAATAAACTAGAAAATCTAGAAGAAATGGATAAATTCCTCAACACATACACCCTCCCAAGACTAAACCAGGAAGAAGTTGACTCTCTGAATAGACCAATAACAGGAGCTGAAATTCTGGCAATAATCAATAGCTTACTTACCAACCAAAAAGAGTCCAGAACCAGATGGTTTCACAGCTGAATTCTACCAGAGGTACAAGGAGGAACTGGTACCATTCCTTCTGAAACTATTCCAATCAATAGAAAAAGAGGGAAACCTCCCTAACTCATTTTATGAGGCCAGCATCATCCTGATCCTGAAGCCGGGCAGAGACACAACCAAAAAAGAGAATTGTAGAGCAATATCCTGGATGAACATTGATGCAAAAATCCTCAATAAAATACTGGCAAACCGAATCCAGCAGCACATCAAAAAGCTTCTCCACCATGATCAAGTGGGCTTCATCCCTGGGATGCAAGGCTGGTTCAATATACACAAATCAATAAATGTAATCCAGCATATAAACAGAACCAAAGACAAAAACCACATGATTATCTCAATAGATGCAGAAAAGGCCTTTGACAAAATTCAACAACCCTTCATGCTAAAAACTCTCAATAAATTAAGTATTGATGGGACATATCTCAAAATAATAGGAGCTATCTATGACAACCCACAGCCAATATCATACTGAATGAGCAAAAACTGGAAGCATTCCCTTTGAAAACTGGCATAAGACAGGGATGCCCTCTCTCACCACTCCTATTCAACATAGTGTTGGAAGTTCTGGCCAGGGCAATTAGGCAGGAGAAGGAAATAAAGGGTATTCAATTAGGAAAAGAGGAAGTCAAATTGTCCCTGATTGCAGATGACATGATTGTATATCTAGAAAACCCCATTGTCTCAGCCCAAACTCTCCTTAAGCTGATAAGCAACTTCAGCAAAGTCTCAGGATACAAAATCAATGTACAAAAATCACAAGCATTCTTATACACCAATAACAGACAAACAGAGAGCCAAATCATGAGTGAACTCCCATTCACAATTGCTTCAAAGAGAATAAAATACCTAGGAATCCACCTTACAAGGGACGTGAAGGACCTCTTCAAGGAGAACTACAAACCACTGCTCAAGGAAATAAAAGAGGATACAAACAAATGGAAGAACATTCCATGCTCATGGGTAGGAAGAAACAATATCGTGAAAATGGCCATACTGCCCAAGGTAATTTATAGATTCAATGCCATCCCCATCAAGCTACCAATGACTTTCTTCACAGAATTGGAAAAAACTACTTTAAAGTTCATATGGAACCAAAAAAGAGCCCGCATCACCAAGTCAATCCTAAGCCAAAAGAACAAAGCTGGAGGCATCACGCTACCTGACTTCAAACTATACTACAAGGCTACAGTAACTAAAACAGCATGGTACTGGTACCAAAACAGAGATATAGATCAATGGAACAGAACAGAGCCCTCAGAAATAACGCCGCATATCTACAACTATCTGATCTTTGACAAACCTGAGAAAAACAAGAAATGGAGAAAGGATTCCCTATATAATAAATAGTGCTGGGAAAACTGGCTAGCCATATGTAGAAAGCTTAAACTGGATCCCTTCCTTACACCTTATACAAAAATTAATTCAAGATGGATTAAAGACTTAAACATTAGACCTAAAACCATAAAAACCCTAGAAGAAAACCTAGGCATTACCATTCAAGACATAGGCATGGGCAAGGACTTCATGTCTAAAACACCAAAAGCAATGGCAACCAAAGCCAAAATTGACAAATGGGATCTCTTTAAACTCAAGAGCTTCCGCACAGCAAAAGAAACTACCATCAGAGTGAACAAGCAACCCACAAAATGGGAGAAAATTTTCGCAACCTACTCATCTGACAAAGGGCTAATATCCAGAATCTACAATGAACTCAAACAAATTTACAAGAAAAAAACAAACAACCCCATCAAAAAATGGGCGAAGGACATGAACAGACACTTCTCAAAAGAAGCCATTTACGCAGCCAAAAAAAACATGAAAAAATGCTCACCATCACTGGCCATCAGAGAAATGCAAATCAAAACCACAATGAGATATCATCTCACACCAGTTAGAATGGCAATCATTAAAAAGTCAGGAAACAACAGGTGCTGGAGAGGATGTGGAGAAATAGGAACACTTTGACACTGTTGGTGGGACTGTAAACTAGTTCAACCATTGTGCAAGTCATTGTGGCAATTCCTCAGGGATCTAGAACTAGAAATACCATTTGACCCAGCCGTCCCATTACTGGGTATATGCCCAAAGGACTATAAATCATGCTGCTATAAAGACACATGCACACGTATGTTTATTGCGGCACTATTCACAATAGCAAAGACTTGGAACCAACCCAAATGTCCAACAATGAGGGACTGGATTAAGAAAATGTGGCACATATACACCATGGAATACTATGCAGCCATAAAAAATGATGAGTTCATGTCCTTTGTAGGGACATGGATGAAATTGGAAATCATCATTCTTGGTAAACTATCTCAAGAACAAAAAGCCAAACACCGCATATTCTCACTCATAGGTGGGAAATGAACAATGAGAACACATGGACACAGGAAGAGGAACATCACACTCTGGGGACTGTTGTGGGGTAGGGTGAGGGGAGAGGGATAGCTTTAGGAGATATACCTAATGCTAAATGACAAGTTAATGGGTGCAGCACACCAGCATGGCACATGTATACATATGTAACTAACCTGCACATTGTGCACATGTACCCTAAAACTTAAAGTATAATAATAATTTAAAAAAAAAAGACTACCAAGGAATTAGGGGAAGGAGGAAAATTGGAGAAAGGGTTAAAGAATAAAAACAATGAAAGCATTAAATGTGCAATTAAAATAGAATCTATGGTATGAATTAAGGAAGGAACAAATAAAGACAACTTAATAAACACTACAAGACCTTTACTTGTCAAATTTTAGAAAAAAACATACTTAGAAAAATTTTTATTAAAGTCTCATAATTAGTAAATAACTGTGTAGGAAAATGAAAATGGCTATACATACTTATAAATCAGGAAAAGCTTAGAGCACAGTATTGTTGTCAATTCTTATCTTTAGTTGGTATAAAAAATTTAAAAAGAAAATATGAAAATATAAAAGGTTTTACAGATGTTGTCATTTCCCTCACATATATATTAGGACTCATATATAATTATTCTCGAGACCATGAAGTGAATTAAGGAGTTGTGTTCTGGTAAAACAGATCCTGACAAATTCAAAGTTATAGGTATATGGGACCATAGAATGTATAGTATGGTTTCCTTTTCTGCATATATTCAAAATTTCCTTTATAGATTTTTCTTTTAATCCCCATGTCCCTGGTTTACAGATTTCAAGATATATTACACCAATGGGAAGGGATTAGCATACTGCCTGGCATTCAATGAGCATAGAAGTAATCATCCATATTATTGTGTCTGATTTAAAAATTGCCTTTGATAAGATGGACAAAATTACTTAAGATTAAGTTCATCTATGTTATTAAGAGGACCTTTTACCTCTCCATGAAAGAGAGAAAGAAAGAAGGAGAGTAAAAAGAAAGAAAGAACAAAAGAACGAAAGAAAGAAAGGAAGGAAGGAAAAAGAAAAAAGAGAAAGAAAGGAAGGATGGAGGGAAGGGAAGGGAAGGGAGAAGGAAGGAGAGAGAGAGAGAGAAAGAAAGGAAGGAAGGAAGGATGGAAGGAAAGAAGGAAAAAAAAAAGGAAGGATGGAGGGAAGGGAGAAGGAAGGAGAGAAAGAAAGAGAGAAGGAAAGAGAGAGAAAGAAGAGAGAGAAGGAAGGAGAGAAAGAGAAAGAGAGAAGGAAAGAGAAAGAAGAGAGAGAAGGAAGGAAGAAAAGGAAGGAGAAAGAAGGACGGAAGGAAGGAAGGAAAGGAAGGAGAAGAAAGGAAGGAATGAAGGAGAAAATAAGGAAGGAAAGAAAAAAGGAAGAAATGAAGGAAGGAAAGAGAGAAAAAAGGAAGGAAAGAAGGAAAGATGGAAGGAAGGAGCGAGAGAGAGAGAGGAAGGAAGGAAGGAAAAAAGAAAGGAGGACAAAAAAAGAAAGAAAAAATGAACAAACAGATTTGGGCAGAGGCTTAAATTAGGGTTTCCTTGAGCTCTCCAGAGCTCCAGTTATTTTGAGTAAATCTACTTCCCCTTTGCATACCCACACCACCCACTCACCAGATTATTGTCTCCATCATGACTAAAAACTGCCTATGCAACCAGTTCCCCAAAATAGATTGTGTTGTAATGGAGGTTTCCCTGACCCAATCAATCATTCAGGCACCACCAGTAGGTAAAGCCTCCAGGTTGTACATCATCACCAGGGCTTGCCTCCATCAGTCTGGTCTGATCCAAAAATCACCATCCCCAACCAAGCGATGTACTGTACCTTCTGGAATTTCCAGCCTGATCTAAGCAAGATTCTACAGTTTTCAATATTTTAAAGAATATTTTTGTTTCACTTGCAATTGATTGTTTCCATCTGTAACATATTCTTTGCTAACTGGGTTAACAAATATAGGCATATTTTTCTCACATAATCTGAAGTCCACATATAGGCAGTTCCTAGCTTTGGTTCGGTCTCTGTTCAGGCTCTGCAATTCTCAGAATGTTGGTTTGTTGTCTTCATAATTTTGCCTTGCCTCTTAGTCATAAGAAGGCTGATGTATCTCAAATCATCTGGCCATATTTGAATCTGATAAGATTTTAAAAAATGGAATTTGTCCTGTTGTGTCTGCTGCTTGAGCAAGAAAACAAAAGCTCTCCAATGACTCATTCTTACCACTTACTGGTTAAATACAGGTTGTGTGACCTCCTGTAGTTGTAAGAGATACTGTTTTAATTATGGAAAATGGGCTTCCTGAGAAAGAGAAAGGCAGCCTGTGTCATTCAAAGCTAGCCCGCTACTATCGGCTATGCTTTGGTGGTGACAGAAGCTGGCCTGCTGCTCACAGTGAGGCCTTGGTGTTTTCTGTTGAACATAAGGACTTTTTTGGAATATTAGTGGAATATTAACATCAGACAAGGCAAATCTGCAACTGTGATTAATCAATGAAAAACAAGTTAGTAACATAAACTTGTATGATCACAGTATAAAATATATTTTTCTAACCACAAAAATGTCTAAATGTCTGCTGATTTTTTGAAACAGAGTCTCACTTTGTTGCCTAAGCTAGAGTGCAGCGTCGTGATCAAGGCTCACTGCAGCCTCAACATCCTGATCCCCAGTGTTCCTCCCACCTCAACCTCCCAAGTAGCTGGGACCACAGGTATGTGCCACCACAATGAGCTAATTTTTATTTTTGTAGAGTCCTAGAGAAGTCTCCCTATGTTGGCTGGTCTCTAACTTCTGGGCTCAAATGAAACCCCCACTTCAGCCTCCCAAAGTGTTGGGATTAAAGGCATGAACGGCATCTGGCCCCCTTATCTTAACTAATAGGAACAACTGCCTCTTCTTTAACAGTTACTAGTTTATCCTTGGCCTAGTCTTTCCTTCTTATAGGTAAGATGAATTAAAATGATCATAGATTGCCCCCTGCCTCTTGATAGCATCCCATCTAGAGCAAAGCCTTGCTACCCAAAGTCCATTTCAATCTCAACCAAAGTCCAAAAATATAATAATTCCTTTGTAACATCTTACTAAAATGCCCCACATTTCCCCATGGTGTGTGTCTCACCTCCTCACAATGTGTTGGTCAAGTACAAGTGTGCTCCCAGGGGTCTTTACCTGGAAAGCAGTGGTGAATACCTCCACTCTTTGACTTCTCTAGTTCCAATAGCCTGTTGCTCCAAGTCACTCAGTCAGAAACTCCCATTGTTATATTCTAAGCTTCGTGATTGTCAGTAGCTGTAGAACTATAAAAAAATCTCAGTTTCAAGCATCCCACTTTAATCAACACTTACCTTTTTCCAACACTTTCTAATTTGTCTTTTTTTAGTGCCTACATTCCAAAAATATTTTTACTTCCTTAAAGTCTGTAATGAATTGACTTGACCCATTTTTTTCTATCTCATTAGCCATTTCTGTGCTGATCTTTTCTAGATATTATTCATGCTTGGTCCATTTTGTACTCTTCATTGCCCTTGGCCATTTATACATTTATACACAGTCCTTGCTCCAATTTTTCTATTAAACATATTTCATATAACTGCAACCTTGATAGAAACTAAATTCTCTATCTGTTCTGTTCCTTTCCTGGAAGAGCAGAATGTGCACATACATGAAAGATAACTGATCCATTCATCCATATAAAAAATAACTTTTCTGACTTAAATATGTATCTACAAAATTTGTGTTTCATACTTTCTTACTCTCCCCCAAAAATATTTCACATGTCTTTGTCTCTTTTGAACATCCCATACATATTCTATCTTCCTATCCTCAGCTGATAATTTCCTTCTATTCTGCAAGGGACTGAATATTTATGCCCGCCCCGCATCGTGGCTCCCACCAAATTTAGATGTTGAAATTGTAACCTCCCAATGTGATAGCATTACAAGATGGTGCCTTTAAAGGATAATTAGGTCATGAAGGTAGAGCCCTCATGAATGAGATTAGTGCCCTTATAAAAGGAACCCAACTTCTTTTTGCCAGGTGAGAATACAGTCCTGTTGTGCAACCCCAAAGAGGGCTCTCACTGGAATCAAACCAGGCTGGCACCCTGATCACCCTGATCATGGGACTTACGGCCTCCAGAACTGTGAGAAATACATTTTTGTTGTTTGAAAGTGACTCAGACTGTGGCAGTTACAGCAACCTGAATTAGTGAAGTACTATTCCAATGAGATAATTTGAAGCATTTGGAAGAGTCTAATTTTCCGGGCATCAAATTTAGCAATGAAACTGTACCTTTACCAATATATTCTATAGTCCATTCTGATGTCACAAGTTTTTATTTTTATTCAAAGCCCCCTCTTTAGAGCTGTATCCTGGGTCATTATTTTTTTCATCTTTTCTCAAATACTTTTTTCCGGAAATTACGTCTTCTCCCTCTGGTATAATTGTCTTTTTATTTAATCATCCCATCAGATTAAATACATGTTGTAATATCTTCCATCTTTAAAAAAAAATTTCTCTGATCACACATGCCACTATTTATCCAATGTCATTCCTTTTTATAGCAAGTATCCTTGCAAGTGTTGTTTTTATTTGCTGTTTCAATATTTTACTTCTGACTCTCCATTAAAACATTTTATTATGAAATACGTTATATAATCAAAATGACAATACATACACTATTTCAAGAAATTGAAGATGACCTTAATTGTAGGACGTATCACTGTTTTATCTATCAATAAGAGAGCATCAACAGTAGCAGATACAACTATAATAACAACATGGATTGGCAGATACATTGCAATGGTGATAATGTGAAAAATGAACATTTTAGAAATGCAGTACCATATTATTTTTATTAATATAGTAGAAGAATTTAGCAAATAATATTCTTGTGCACATATAATAATAAAAAGAAGGACTCTGGTTTGGGGTTATACTGCTGACTCCTTTCAAGTCCCTACCCCTTCTCTTTACTTTATGCTTCACATCTGGGCAATCTGTGGTGGAAGGTGGCACAGGCTCTTAATTCCAATCAAACTAGGCCAACCTCAGCTGTAGGGGGCAAGCTCCACTATGGTATTCTGGTCATTTTGCACATATCTAAATAGGCCACGTGGGCATAGGCTTGACCCGCACCTAGTCTGAGTTTTCACTGGAGCATGGTGTTATCTGATCTCCCTGGGACATGAGTGGGATCCTTGTAAGAAGCTGTTCTGAGATAATCTCCCACTCGCCTCTTTGTCTTACTTGGGAGGCTGGGGGAAGGCAGTATTTCTGAATCTATCAGTTTCTGAGGTATGGGAATATTGGCCTTGCTTTCCCCCTCAGAGTAGAGCTATAAAATTTAGACTCCTCAGTAATGAGATATTCTACTACTCATGTTGTAATTAAGCACTTGTTGTGATGCCAGCCTTCTTGGTATATGGGACCAGGATCACAGGGTTCCATCATTTTTTCCCTTGTTCTTTTTTTGCTATCTATGCACATAATAAACTATGCTAATGTAGATATTACTGAGGCGATGCATCAGTCCTTGGCTTTTCCTGTCTTCTGCATCTGTAAGCTTGACACCAGCCTCACCAGCTCCACCTTCTGACCAACATAAAAGCCCAATACCACCTGCATCCTCTTGCTTTTCTTTCACTTTAGACTTAATGTGGGCCCTTCTACTTCTGTCAAAGACAAAATTAAAACAAATTTAGTTTAAAGATCTCAGTCAGCATTATTGTAAATTGGGCAACGCTCCATTCTATGAAATAAAATAAGTGTTCCAATGAGCTGCGTGGAGGGGGGTGGTTTTATGAAAAAAGTAGCCAAAGAAAGCAGAAACAAAGATCAAAGTGCAGATTGGTCATTTCAAAACTTATTTTCCTTGGAAGGTGGGGTCAGGGACACAGAATAATAGAAAAATAACTGGTTACCATCAGGTCACTTCAGGTTTCATTTTGTTGTAAGGATTAAAATGAAGGAAATTTTGTTATGCCAATCGAAACTGGCCTGCTTAGGAAACTAGAAAGTTTTCTCTCTCTCCTGATCTCCTGGAAGGCCAGACTACAACTCAGTTTCAGTTTGGTGATGTGGAGCCACAGCATGAGTGACTTTATTTTGATTTTTAGTGTAGCCTATTGGGGCTTAGTGGAGGAGCTTAGTCTGCAACAATGACGTCTTACAATTTTTATTCAACACCTCAAATCTATTAATGCCCATGTATCATTCATCTTAAGATTCATAAATTTCCAGGCAGTAGGGGATGCCTGGAATTTCCTAGCAGGGAATGGTAGGACCTCAAATAGCACAGCAGGTATACTTCTGTAGAGCATGATTGTTATTTTTAAAAATATAGCTGGGAGCTGTGATCATGCCACTGCACTCCTGTGTAATAGAGTGAGGACCAGTCTCAAAAAAAAAAAAAAGACTAAAGAAAAGAAATAGAACTGGGAATGTTATTATTTTGTCATAGTGAATGCTTGTTAAAATATAACTAACCACTAGTAGGTAGTTTGTGTGAATTCCCATTATTCTATATCTTTTTTCAAGCTTTGGAAGAGTCTTCTTTCTTTTGATTTTAAAATGCTTAAACATATTCTTGATATTCTCTCCTGGACATTATAAAGTATTATTTTTCATATTTAAATTATTATTTATACTAGAATTGTATAATTAGTGAAAACAATATTTCGTGGTATATAAATGCATCCAATTTTTTTGACACTGATACCCAATTATTCCAATAAAATCTATTAATACTCTTCTTGCTTTGCTGATCCATAATGCCATCTTTGTAATGACATATGCCTTTTCTTTCGTATCTGATTGAGTTTCTTTCTGGGACCAAAATTCTGTTCCACTGGTTTATTTCATTATTCAATATACTAAGGGGGTATTAAATTACTTAGCAAAAGTTTATTTAAAACAAATTTATTTAAAACAAAATCACCACATTTGAATAAGTACTATCTCTAGTCTCATTATTGGTCATAAACATTTTTAATTTTGTTTTTGTTTTTCCCCCTGCCATAAACACAGCCTCCACATACCAGTATACCCATGTGTATGCATATATAAATATTTATATAATTGAGAAAATTGTATATATTGTACTGTGTTGAATAATTTACTTTTTATCAAAATAACATTTAAAAATATTGAATGTATTTGTTAACCATTTGTAAATTTAGAAGAAATATTTTTAAAAAATATTTCACCAGCAAAAATGAACTTATTATGAAAGAAAGGGATATAAACCTAGAGAGAGAATGACTGTGGTGTGGCAGATGGTGTAGATCCCCATCACCTATCTTCTTGGCCAACCTCTCCTTTCAGCTCCGCCTTCTTTTTATCTTCTTTTTAGCTGTGAGAGATCATACTGACTTTGATAGCTCCATGCCCCAAGTACCTGACCCTCTATTTCTCTCCCTGAGAGCTTTAACTATGTATCCCAAGCTTGCTCAATAAAAGACAACTGCAACCAAGAAATGTGAGAAAACTGACACTTCCCAAGAGCAAACTCTAAAGCCATGGGGGCTCAAAGCCAGCCAAATAATGTCCCAACCTCTCTATATTCTGGTGGACAATTCTGGGAGGTGTTCTATATCACATCTTAGAGGCAGTCAATGAGATTAACCCTCAGTTGCCCACAGTGAAAACTTACTTCTTCAGGCAATTTTCATTGTCTTTAAAATGTCTCGTTTTTACTCTCTTCATACTCTCAATTGTGAGTCCTGGCATCATGTACTAACACCCTTCTCTTAGTTCTTATTTTAGAATCTGCTTTTGTGGGAATTAAAATTAGGACACATGCCATCATAAAATGTACAATAGCTTCAAAGAAATAATATAGTCAGGTGTATATCAGATGTAATAAGACAGATTTATTAACAAATAGTTCATTAGAGAAGATAAATATGATAACATAACTAGTTCATTCATAAATAATACAGCTAAAATGGGAATTTTTACTAAAAGAGGGAGCAGAGATTCTGACTATATATACACATGCATATGTGTGTACACACACATCTTTCACTTAGTGTGTATACATATATACACAATATGCATGTGTATACACATACACACATAAAAATGAAGAGTATCTATATAAGTATTATATATCCTTAATGAGAAAAAGCTTGTTGATTTTGTATAAAGTTTTAGTTGTGCAAGATGAATAAGTTCTAGAGATCTACTGTACAACACAGTACTTATACTTAACAATACTGAATCATGCACTTAGAAAATTTGTTAACAGCCCTGTTAACACCAGCCCTGTTAACTCTCCCTTTTTGTGGTTAGTGTTTTTACCACTAATAGGAATAAAGGCCCAACAAACCTTTGGAGATGATGGATACATTTATTATCTTGGTTGTGGTGATGGTCTCATGGTTATATGCATATGTCCAAACTCATTAACATGTATACATTGAATATGTGCAGTGTTTTGTATCAATTATACTTCTGCTATAATAAAACTGTTGAAAAGAAACAAATTGAAAGGTTAAATTATTACAAACCTAAAAATACAAAATGCCATATAAATAAGAATAAAAAATTTAAAAGTTAATGTACTACAAAGAATTTTCTTCATTCATAGACTTTATTTTTAGAACTGTTTTAGGTTTACAGAAAAATAAGCAGAATACATTACATAGCATTTTCATACTGGTTTCTTTAACTTAACAATACATATTTAAGGTTCCTCTATGTCTTTTTATGTTTTTAGAGTTGATTGCTTTTTATCTTTGGGTAATATTCTACTGTATGGATATATCACAGATTGTTTAGCCATTCACCTATTGAAAGATGTCCTGGTTGCTCCCAGATTCTGGCAATTATGTATAAAGCTTCTACAAATGTTTGTATGCATGTTTTTATTTTGACATTAGTTTTCAACTTACCAAATTTTCAATTTGGGTAAACAGGAAGAAACATGATTGCTGGGTTCAATTAGTAAGAACAGGTTTAGATTTATAAGAAATAACCAACCTGTATTCCAAAGTGGCTGTATCATTTTGCATTCCCAGTGGTAGCAAATGAGAGTTCCTGTTACCGTACATCTTCGCCAGCATTTGCTGTTGATAGTATTTTGGATTTTAACATTTCTAAACATATGTAGTGGAATCTCATTTTTGTTTAAATTTGCAATTTCCTATAACATAAGAAGTTGAACATCTTTTTGTATGTTTATTTTTTATCCTTACATCTTCTTTAGCAAGATATATGTTCAGCTCATTTTTAATTAGTTTTTTTTGTACTTTTTAATTTTAAGTTCAGGAGTACATGTGCAGGACGTGCAGGTTTGTTACATAGGAAAATGTGTTCCATGGTGATTTGCTGCGCAAATCATCCTATCACCTAGGTATTAAACCCAGCATCTTTTAGCTATTCTTCCTGATGTTCTCCCTCCTCTCCCCGCTGACCCTCTGACAGGCTCCAGTGTGTGTTGTCCCCCACATTATGTGTCCATGTGCTTTCATCATTCAGCTCCCACTTATAAGTGAGAGCACGTAGCATTTGGTTTTCTGTTCCTGTGTTAGTTTGCTAAGGATAATGGCTTCCAGCTCCATCCATATTCCTGCAAAGGACATGATCTTGTTCCTTTTTATGACTGCATAGTATTCCATCGTGTATATGTACCCCATTTTCTTTATCCTGTCTATCATTGAAGGGCATTTAAGTTGGTTAAATGTCTTTGCTACTGTAAATAGTGCTTCAGTGAACATAAATGTGCATTTATCTTTATAATATTTTATGCTCCTTTGGGTATAGCAAGTAATGGGATTGCTGGGTCAAATGGTATTTCTGCCTCTAGGTCTTTGAGGAATCACCACACTGTCTTCCACAATAGTTGAAGTAATTTACAACTCCTACCAACAGTGTAAAAGCATTCCTTTTTCTCCACAACCTTGCCAGTATCTGTTCTTTTCTGACTTTTTAATATTATCCATTCTGACTGGTTTGAGATGGTATCTGTATGAGTCCATTCTCACATTGATATAAAGAACTACCTGAGACCAGGTAATTTATAAAGAAAAGGGGTTTAATTTATTTATAGTTTGACATGGCTGGGAGGCCTCAGCAAATTTACAGTCATGGTGGAAGGGAAAGCAGGCACATCTTACATGGCCGCAGGTGAGAGAGAAGTGAGTACACAGGAAAAAAACTGCTACTTTTAAATCCATCAGATCTCATGAGAATTCACCCACTATCGCAAGAATAGCATGGGGAAAACAGCTCCCATGATCCAATCACCCCCCTTCCTCTACAAGGGGAAATTACAGGTCCCTCCCTTGACATGTGGGAATTACAATTTGACATGAGATTTGAGTGGGGACACAGAGACAAACCATATTCCTATCTCATTGTGGTTTTAATTTGCATTGCTCTAATGACCAGTGATTTTGTTGGGCTTTTTTTCATATGTTTGTTGTCTGCATGTATGTCTTCTTTTGAGAAGTGTCTGTTCATGTCTTTTGTCTAATTTTTAATGGTTTTTTTTTTTGCAAATTTGTGTAACTTCCTTGTAGATGCTAGATATTAGACCTTTTTCAGATGGATAGATTGCAAAAATTTTCTCTCATTCTGTAGGTTGTCTATTCACTCTGCTGATAGTTTATTGTGCTGTGCAAAATTTTTTTAGTTTAATTAGATCCCATTCATCAATTTTTGCTTTTGTTGAAATTGCATATGGTGTCTTCAACCTGAAATCTTTGCGGGTGCCTATGTCCTAAATGGTATCGACTAGATAGTCTTCTAGGGTTTTATATTTAATTATTTAATCCATCTTGAGTTGATTTTTGTATACAGTGTAAGGAAGGGGTCCAGTTTCAATCTTCTGTTTATGGCTAGCCAGTTCTCCCAGCACCATTTATCGAATAGGGGATCATTTCCCCACTGCTTGTTTTTGTCAGGTTCGTGGAAGATCAGATGATTGTAGGTGTGCAGTCTTATGGCTTGGTTCTCTATTCTGTTCCGTTGGTCTACGTGTCTGTTCTTGTACCAGTACCATGTTGTTTTGGTTACTGCAGGTTTGTAGTATAATTTGAGGTTGGGTAGCATGATGCCTCCAGCTTTGTTCTTTTTCCTTAGGATTGTCTTGGCTATTTGGGCTCTTTTTTTGGTTCCATATAAATTTTAAAATAGTTTTATTCTAATTCTGTAAAGAATGTCAATGGTAGTTTAATGGGAATAGCATTGAATCTATAAATTGCTTTGGGCAATTTTTGCTCTTGTTGCAATTGCATATGGTGTCTTCAACATGGCCATTTTCACAATGTTGATTCTTCATGCTGCTATAAAGATACATGCACACGTATGTTTATTGTGGCACTATTCACAATAGCAAAGACTTGGAACCAACCCAAATGTCCATCAATGATAGACTGGATTAAGAAAATGTGGCACATATACACCATGGAATACTATGCAGCCACAAAAAAAGGATGAGTTCATGTCCTTTGTAGGGACATGGATGAAGCTGGAAACCATCATTCTCAGCAAACTATCGCAAGGACAAAAAACCAAACACCGCATGTTCTCACTCATAGGTGGGAATTGAACAATGAAAACACTTGGACACAGGAAGGGGAACATCACACACTGGGGCCTGTTGTGGGGTGAGGGGAGGGGGGAGGGATAGTATAAGAGATGTACCTAATGTAAATGATGAGTTAATGGGTGCAGCACACCAACATGGCACATGTATACCTATGTAACAAACCTGCACGTTGCGCACATGTACCCTAGAACTTAAAGTATAATTAAAAAAAGAAAAAAAAATTGATTCTTCCCATCCAAGAGCATAGAATGTGTTTTCATTTGTTTGTGTCATCTCTGATTTCTTTGAGCAGTGGTTTGTAGCTCTCCTTGAAGAGATACTTCATTTTCCTTGTTAGCTATATTCATAGGTATTTTATTATTTTTGTGGCAATTGTGAATGGGAGTTTTTTCATGATTTGACTCTTGGCTTGCCCATTGTTGGTGTATAGGAATAATAGCAATTTTTGCACATTGATTATGTATCCTGAGACTTTGTTGAAGTTGCTTATCAGCTTAAGAAGTTTTTGGGCTGAAACTATGTGGTATTCTAGATATGAGATCATGTTATCTGCAAACAAAGATTGTTTGCGTTTCTCTCTTCCTATTTGAATTCCAGTATTTCTTTCTCTTGCCTGATTGCCCTGGACTACATTGAATACGAGTGGTGAAAAACAGCATCCTTGTCTTGTGCTGGTTTCCAGGGGAATGCTTCCAGCTTTTGCCCATTCAGTAGGATATTGTCTGTGGGTTTGTCATAGATGTCTCTTATTATTTTGATGGATGTTCCTTCAATATTTAGTTTATTGAGACTTTTTAACATGAAGGGATGTTGAATTTCATCAAAGGCCTTTTCTGCATCTCTTGAGATAATCATGTGGTTTTTCTCTTTAGATCAGTTTATGTGATGAATCACATTTATTTATTTGCATATGTTGAATCAACCTTGCATCCTGGGGATGAAGCCTACTTGATTGTGGAGATAAGCTTTTTGATGTGCTGCTGAATTTGGTTTGCCAGCATTTTGTTCAGGAATTTTGCATTGATGTTCATCAGGGATATTGGCCTGAAGTTTTGTATGTGTGCATGTGTAGTATCTCTGCCAGGTTTTGGTATCAGGATGATGCTGGCCTCATAGAATGAGTTAGGGAGGAGTCCCTCCTTTTCAATTTTTTGCAATAGTTTCAATAGAAATGGTATCAACTCTTTCTTATAACAATAGTAGAATTCAGCTGTGAATCCTTCTCGTCCTGAGCTTTTTTTGGTTGGTAGGCTATATTACTGACTCAATTTCAGAATTCATTATTGGTCAATTCAGGGATTCAATTTCTTTCGGATTCAGTCTTAGAAAGATGAATGTGTCCAGAAAATTGTTCCTTTCTTCCAGATTTTCCAGTTTGTCTTCATAGAAGTGTTTGTGGTATTCTCTGATGACTGTTTGTATTTCTGTGGGATCAGTGGTGATATCTCCTTTTTCATTTCTGATTGTGTTTATTTGAATCTTCTCTTTTATTATTTTTATTCTAGCTAGAAGCCTATCTGTTTTCTTAATTTTTTCAAAAATCTAGCTCCTGGCTTTGTTGATTTTTTTGAATTGTTTTTCATGTTTCTATCTCCTTCAGTTCAGCAATAATCCTAATTATTTTTTGTCTCCTGCTAGCTTCAGGGTTTGTTTGCTCTTGGTTTTCTAGTTCTTTTAGTTGTAATGTTAGGTTGTTAACTTGAGATCTTTCTAGCCTTTCGATGTGAGAATTTAGTGCTATTAATTTTCCTCTTAATACTGCTTTAGTTGTGTCCCAGAGATTCTGGTATGTTATCTCTGTTCTCATTAGTTTGAAAGGACCACTTGATTTCTGCCTTAATTTTATTATTTACCCAGGAGTCTTTCAGGAGCAGATTGTTCAGTTTTTATGTAGTTGTGTGGTTTGGAGTGAATTTTTAAGTCCTGAATTCTAATTTGATTGTGCTGTGGTCTGAGAGACTGTTTGTTATGATTTCAGTTCTTTTGCATTTTCTGAGGAGTATTTTACTTCCAATTATGTGATCAATTTTAGAGTACGTGCCATGTGGTGATGAGGAGAATGCATATTCTGTTGTTTTGGGGTGGAGAGTTCTGTAGATATCTATCAGGTCCACTTGATCCAGAGCTGAGTTCAAGTCCTGAATGTCTTTGTTAATTTTCTGTCTTGATAATCTCACTTATATTGTCAGTGGGTGTTAAAGTCTCCCACAGTTATTGTGTGGGAGTCTAAGTCTCTTTGAACTTTTCTGGTAACTTGCTTTATAAATCTGGGTGCTTCTGTATTGGGTGCATATATATTTAGGATAGTTAGCTCTTCTTGTTGAATTGAAGTCTTTACCCTTATGTAATGTCCTTTTTTTGTCTTTTTTTATCCTTGTTGGTTTAAAGTCTGTTTTGCCAGAAAGTAGGATTGCAACCCCTGCTTTTTCTACTTGCCATTTGCTTGGTAAATTTTCCTCCATCCCTTTCTTTTGAGCCTATGTGTGTCACTGCATATGAGATGGGTTCTCTTAAAGACAGCATACCAATGAGTCTTGGTTCTTTATTCAGCTTGCCAGTCTGTGTCTTTTAATTGGGGCATTTAGCCCATTCCATTTAAAGTTAGTATTGTTATGTGTGAATTTGGTTCTGTCATCATGATGCTAGCTGATTATTTTTCAGACTTGTTTATGTGGTTGTTTCATAATGTCACTGGTCTGTATACTTAAATGTGTTTTTGTAGTGGCTGCCAATGGTTTTTCCTTTCCATATTTAGTGCTTCCTTCAGGAGCTCTTGCAAGACAGGTTTGGTGGTAATAAATTCCCTCAGCATTTATTTGTGTGAAAAGCATCTTATTTCTCTTTTGCTTATGAAGATTAGTTTGGCCCAATATGAAATTTGGGATGGAATTTCTTTTCTTTAAGAATGTTAAATATTGGCCCCCAATCTCTTCTAGCTTATAGGGTTTCTGCTGAAAAGTTCACTGTTAGTCTGATGGGTTTCCCTTTGTAGGTTACCTGGCCTTTCTCTGTGGCTGGCCTTGACATTTTTCTTTCATTTTGCCTTTGGAGAATCTAATATTGTGTGTCTTGGTGATGATTTTCTCGTGGAGCATCTTACTGGGGTTCTCTGCATTTCCTGAATTTGAATGTTGGCCTGTATTGCTAGGTTGGGGAAGTTTTTCTGGATGATATCCTAAAATATGTTTTCCAGCTTGGTTCTATTCTCCCCATCTCTTTCAGGTACCCCAAATCAGTCATAGATGCAGACTCTTTGCATAATACTGTATGTCTCAGAGGTTTTGTTCATTCTTTTTCATTCTTTTGTCTCTATTCTTGTCTGCTTGTCTTATTTCAGAAAGATGGCCTTCAAGTCCTCTGCTCAGTCCTTTCTGCTATTAATACTTGTGATTGTGAAGTTCTTATAGTGTGTTTTTTAGATCTAACAGGTCAATTATATTCCACTCTGAACTGGCTATTTTGGCTGTCAGCTCCTGTATTGTTTTATCATGATTCTTAGCTTATTTGCATTGGGTTACAACATGCTCCTTTAGCTTAGTGAAGTTTGTTATTATTCATCTTCTGAAGCCTACTTCTGTCATTTCAGCAACCTCAGCCTCATCTCAGGTCTGAGCTCTTGATGAAGAGGTGTTGCGGTCATTTGCAGGAAAAGGGGCACTCTGATTTTTTAAGTTTTCAGTGTTCTTTGCATTGATTCTTTCCCATCTTTGTTGGCTTATCTACCTTCCATCTTAAAGATTTCTGCTCTTTGAATGGGGTTTTTGTGGTTTGTTGTTGTTGTTTTCTGTTTGTTTTTCTTTTAACTGTCTGGCCATTCTTCTGTAGGGCTGCACAGTTTACTAGGGCTCCATTCCAGACTCTAGTTGCCTCAGTTTTTTTCTGTACCTGGTGATCTCACCAGTAAAGTCTGTGACACAGCAAAGATGACAGTCTGCAACTTCCTCTGGAAACTTTATCCCAGGGGGATACTGACCTATTGCCAGGCCAAACATGACTGTTGTAGGTGGCTGGAGACCCCTGTTCTGAGGTCTCACCTAGTCAGGAGGAATGGGATCAGGGACTCGCTTAAAGAAGCAGTCCAGCTGGTTTTTGGTAGAGCATCTGTGCTGTGTTGGGAATCCCTTGAGCCCCTTATCCATTTGGACTTTCCAAGGCCCACAGCCTGGACCAACTGAGAAGCCCGAAAGGCCAAAGTGGTGGCCTGCCCTACCCCTCAGTCACTCTGTCCCAGGAAGAACACAGTCATGAGTGGCCAGATGCCCTGGCTGGGAGGACCTACCCTGTGAGGAGGAGTGGAATGGTGTCCCACTAAAAGAAGCAATCTGGCCACTCCTTGACAAACCAGCTGTGTCATGGTGGGGATCACTTCTGCCCCTATCAGCTTGAACTCTCCAAAGCCCACAGGCTAAATGGCTGAGTTGTCCAACCAACCCGGTGGACAACTCCCCTTCCCTGGCAACTCCATCCCAGAGGAAGATCAGAGCTCTGTCACTAATACATGCTGGTGGGCATGGCCGGAGGGTCTGGTTGGGACATCCTCCCCAGTGACCAGAAATGGATCAGGTCCCACTTAAAGAAGCATTCTGGCCGCTATCTGCCAAAGCCACTGTGTTGTGTTGCTCAGGGGACCCCTCTTCATCCAGATGTTTGGACTCTCCAAAGCCCGCAGACTGGAACAGCTGAGTTGACCAAACAGCAGTGATGGCACCTGCCCCACCCCCTAGGGCTTTGCTGAGTCTCAGACAGGTTTCACCCTGTTGCCTGTGGCTGGCTGGAATTCCAAGCCAGTGCATCTTATCTTGTGAGGTGTCCTGGAAGTGGGGCCCACGGAATGACACTGCTCAGTTCCCTGGATTCTGCCCCATTCCTAAGGGTACGTGCGGACCTCCCGCCTTGCCTGAATTGCAGACACCTTTGTGGGGGATCCTAAGGAAGGAATTTGTAAAGCTCTTGAGTCTCTGTGCTTGGCTGAGCAGCTGCTCTGTCAAGATTTCACACTGTTCTGTGTGTCAGACCCATGGCTTTTGTAGCATGGGCTCAGAAGGGGATCTCCTGATCTGCAGGTTGCAAAGATCTCTGAGAGAAATGTGGTTACCAGGGGTTGCAGTCACTTATCGCTTCCCTTGGCTGGGAGTGGGGGTTCCTTTGGCTCTGTGTCACTCCTGCATGGGTCATTGTCCCACCCACCCTACTTTTCTTTGTTCTCCATGTGTCCAGTTTTTTCCTAATCAGTCCCAATCCAAGAACCTGGATATTTCAGTTGAAGGTGCTGTATTCACTTGCCCTTTCCGTTCGTCTCTGTGACGATTTTCAAAAAATAGAGCAATTTGCTCTATTTTTTGAAAATCCACAATTTGTATTAATATGTGTAGGTTATAAAGAAAAAAATAAAGAAAAGTTAAATGAGAATTGTAGCATATTATTTTCAAATTATGAATATTGATTTGAAATGAAAAAAAGTCTTATAACCATACTCTAAATGTATTATTAGTTAGATTAATAATTACTTAAAAAAGAATATGTAGGCAGATTTTTTTAAATACTTTAACTTTTCCAATGCATATATACTTTATCAAAAAACAGGTTTAACACAGTGAAAGGCACAATATGTATCCCTTCGTTTTTCCCACCAATATATCAATAAATAAGTGGCCTTAGAATTCTTAATATTAGAAATTTATTGTACTATATGAACTGAAATGACACCCATTTTTGTAAGTTAGATATATATGGGTAAATCCCCCATTTATCTGCCAGATATTTACATCTCTCTAAATATAGTGAATAGTGGATATGTTTCTCACATGACTTTAATTTTTCTAAAATTATGCATCAAATTAGTATAATTATTATAATGTCCTCAATTTGTATTCTATTACAGCTATAAGAAATATTTGTATTTTACTTTAGGGTTGTGATAATTATTAGCATTAAGATTTTTCATTAACTTTGAGGTTTTCTTGTGGTTGAAGGCAAACATGATTTATCTAGTAGTGATCTAGAAGGAATGGAGGCTGGTCTATTTCCAATAACTGTGTCTATGGAGATGGTGATAATCCCATCTGCACCATTACAAAGACTAAATGTTCACATTCAAAGTTCTAGAATTATGTTACAGATGTCTTTATCTCATTACGTGGTTACTAGGGGGTTGTTTCATCTGGTGTACTTTGATACTGTGTGTACCTTAACAAGCAATCTGGAATAAGCCTTCTGTTTATAGCACTAGAAAACAGAGCATTGTTATATATCATGGCTACTGTTAATTACACTGTGGTGCAAGACATCATTAAAGCTTGAAATGCTCAAGGCATGTCAGCAGAATTTGTTTTACTTAAGTTAAATTACTTTTAAGACTCAGATTTAAATAAACAATATATGTGACAATTAAGTATATCACTATATATCATTGCTTTTGCAGCTTTGGTTGAGACTAATCTGTTGGCAAGTTCAGGTTTTTGGTCAAATTTAACTCTTTGTAGTCAGAAAAAATTTCCATTATTTCAATTAATTTCTGACAATTCCATTTCACTTTAATTGAATACACACACATTTAATGTTCACTACATACACGATTTGAATTAAGTGCAATGCATAGTAGACACAACTTCTGCCACAAAATTCTTTACAATTTGTGTTACCTACACATATTAAAAACTATAGTGCAAAGAATACTAAAATAATTTGGAAAATAATTGCTGAATATTTGCATTGTATGTCTCTATTTAAATAGTGATAAAATGAAAGGTGATGAAGTTTGCACTGTGTATTGCTTATTTGATATATATGTATATATAAAATGACATTGAGCCAGGCATGGTGGCTCATGCCTTTAATCTCAGCACTTTGGGAGGCCGAGGCAGGCACATCACATGAGGTCAGGTGTTTGAGACCAGCCTGGCCAACATGGTGAAACCCTGTCTCTACTAAAAATACAAAAATTAGGCGGGGATGGTGGCAGGCACCGGTAATCCCAGCTACTCGGAAGGCTGAGGCAGGAGAATTGCTTGAACTTGGGAGAAGGAGGTTGCAGTAACCCGAGATGGAGCCACTGCACTCCAGCCTCGGTGACAGAGTGAGACTCCATCTCAAAATAATAATAATAATAAAATAAAATTTAAAGAAAAAAATTGCAAGAAATCATCAAACTTAAAACTTTTTATTCAAAGAGAATAATTAAAAGGAAAACATTAAGTTGGCATATTTGGCTATAAATGAGAAAAAAAATGTTACATATGATTTTTTTTTTTTTTTTTTGAGACGGAGTCTCGCTGTATCGCCCAGGCTGGAGTGCAGTGGCTAGCTCTCGGCTCACTGCAAGCTCCACCTCCCGGGTTCAAGCCACTCTCCTGCTTCAGCCTCCCAAGTAGCTGGGACTACAGGCACCTGCCACCACGCCCGGCTAATTTTTTGTATTTTTAGTAGAGACGGGGTTTCATCATGTTAGCCGGATGGTCTCAATCTCCTGACCTCATGATCCGCTCACCTTGGCCTCCCAAAGTGCTGGGATTACAGGCGTGAGCCACCGCGCCTGGCCTACATGTGATTATTAAGAGAATGATGTATCACTCTCATATAGAACAGTGTGTGTATGTATATATAGATGCATATCAGTTCTGTTACGTGTTAGCTGTTTAGTCTTAGACTAAATATGCAGTTTTGCAAAATCTTGTTTTCTTCATTTTAACACTTAGCTTCCTAGCTTCTTTCAACCCAGTATCATCACAGGTTAAAGAAAGCAGTCTTTTTGTCTACTTCCCTGAGTTGTTCTGAAACCTCAATAAAGCATTATGTTATATAAAATGTTTAATAAAGGCTCGGTTATAAGGAAGCACTCAACTGCTCATCATCATTATATTTTGACTTATAATAGTGGTCTAAACAAAATAGAATATGTACTCTAGGCAAAGCCCAAAAGCTTTTAGTGTAGAGATTTCTTCATAACCAAATATGGTAATTAAGTTTCATCAAATTCTCGTAAGTACATTTGCCTTTTAAAATTTGTAATAACCAAAAGTGTATTTTAACTTTAAAAATCTATCTGTAATTGTTATACATTTATATTTAAGAATGCAACTAAGTTTACATTTGATGAATTTGAAAGAATAGTAACACATTTATGAATATTCATTAACAATGCTATCTTGATTTTTTTGTCAGTGATACTGATTGTAATCAATATGAATTCCAAATGAGAATTTGAACACAAAAATAAAATAATTTTCCATTTTAATAGAAATTGAATGGAAGAGTTTAGGATAAAGCTCTGGAGCGAGACTTACTGCATTTGAATTCAGGTTCTGCCTCTTATTAACATGATAACCTTTGGCAATTTACACCCTTATGGTGTGTTAATGTCTCTTCTTTAGAACAGAGAAAATAGCATACCTACCTCAAGGGTTATTGTAAGGAATAGGTAAATTAATATATGTAAAGCACTGCTGTTGGCTGAATGTTAATGCCCCTGCCAAAAAATTTATATGTTGAAATCTTCCCCAGTGTGATGGTACTAGGAAGAAGGGGGGTCTTGAAAGTGGGCAAGTAGGGACACCTTGCAAGGTGATTAATGCCTTTATTTTATTATTATTATTGTTATTTTTTGGAGACAGAGTCTCGCTCTGTCAGCCAGGCTGGAGTGCAGTGGCACAATCTCGGCTCACTGCAACCTCTGCCTCCCAGGCTCAAGCAATTCTCCTGCCTCAGCCTTCTGAGTAGCTGGGATTACAGGCAGGTGCCACCATGCCCAGCTAATTTTTGTATTTTTCATAGAGACAGGGTTTGACAATGTTGGCCAGGCTGGTCTCGAACTCCCAACCTCAGGTAATTCACCCACCTCAGCCTCCCAAAGTGCTGGGATCACAGGCGTGAGCCAGCGCAACTGGCCAATTAGTGCTTTTATAAGGGAGACTTGAGAGAGACCCATAGCCAGTTCTGCCATGTGAATTTACAGTGAGAAGATTGTTGTCTATGAGGAAGTAGGTCTTTACCAGACACTAACTATGTCAGCACCTTGATCTTGGACTTCACAACCTCCAAAACTGTGAGAGACAAATTTCTGTTGTTTATGTCACCCAGTCTCTGGTACTTTGTTATAGCAATTAGTGATGGCTAAAGCTGATTCCTGTCAGTTCTCCATGTAGCCTGGTATATTTTCATGTGGTAGACCATTACAGCAAAAAACCCTGTCTGTATTAATTTAATCCAGTGTATCTCAAAAATATTCATTAACAAAGTATCATTTCTCAAAAAATTTTGCACAATTCATATTAATGCCTCAAACAACTGTGAAACTAATATTTTAGATAACAATTTAGTACAACATACTATTTTTTTGTTTTACATAAATTTTAAAAAATACCCCAAGACCAAAGATATATAGAGATTATTCTAAATTTTTTAGGTATTGTTTAAATATGACTTAGGAATTGTATTACTGACATGCAATCAGATACTGCTTGCCCACTCTCAATGTCATTCCTGGTGGGCAAATAATTATATCTATGTGAGTTCCATTCCCCTCTTTTAGTAAAGAATGATGGCACATGAATAATATTTTAAAGTAAATAAAAGTTAAGAGAATTATTCAGTCATTATAAAACCTATATTGAACATGTGTTATGTACCTGGTAACATACCAGGTGTAGGAGATTTACAAAGAAGGGACCTAAAGCTAAATGGAGATGGGGACAGCTAAGGAATTATGGTACTTTAGCTGTGTCTTAAGTGACACATAAGGTGTCAATGATACAGGAAGCATTTTGTGCAAATATACAGGGCCCAAATATTCTGAAAATATTTTTTCCCAACCATGTGACATCTGAGATCTATGTAATAACAGTTCAGAATACAAAACCCATAAATTTATAGTAAATTTTAAAAGCTGTACAACCTTCAAACAACTGTGAAACAAAATATTGTTATGACATTATAAAATAACAGCTTTATAAAATGAAATGGGTTATATTATGAGAACTCTACCATCAAAATCTGGAGCCATGAGTTGAATCTAATTTTACTTTAGTTAAATTTTTTATTTTCTCTTTACTTACACAAAAATAGAAACTTCTTAGAATTATAAAATTTAGGAGAAAATGGCAAGTGTTTTCTATCTGTGTCACACAGATTTGTAAATGTAGGTGCTATGGGTTCCAGAAATTAGGGAGAGTTCTAACTAGAAAAACAAAAGACAAAACAAAACAGAAAAATGACTTGTCTTCCATGAGAAGATGTCATATACCATTACTCAAAAAATGTATGTGGTTTCCATGTCTTATGGAATTTCAAGATTCATATATTTTGTTTACCTAATGCCTCTATCACAGGTTACTATGAGCCCAGAATTTCCAATCTCCTTCACATGACTCTGTTGCAGCAGTTGTTACTCAGTGCTTCGCTCTCAATCTGAAGCACATCTTACGTTCTGTATAGCAGATATCATCACATATAGTTTATGTAAAAATAATTTATTAACAAAAAGAAAATTGTAAGATGGATTAAATAACTATTTTTGTAATTAATAATACCAAAGAGAAATGGAAAAGCATAGAGAAAATCTTTAGGTTTGATGCATTCTAGAAGATAATGGAAATCTTGAAAAATTAATAAATATGAAAAACATTTTCCAGTTATAACTTCATTAACTGTAATGCAGCTTATAAATCAATTTTTCATTGATTAATTAATGCAACATATTTGATAAATATGCACTATGTGCAGGCATAGTACTAAATGAACAGATAACCATTCTTGCGATAAAATAATCAATAGTCTGCCAAGAATTCTAAGAGAATTTTTAAAATGAGGATGTAGAGTTAAATTATCAAATATTTTGGTAAAATTATAAAGAAGCTGAAAGAAGCACTTTTAAAATAAGTTTAGAATTGTTGCTGTATATAAGAGGTAATAGAAAATAATTGCCTCAAATGCTATTAAAGTGAAACATTTATTAATTTTAACGATTGGATAAATGATTAGAATATTCATAGAGTAAAAGACAGTTTTTTCTATTTTCAATTAGGAAACAAAAAACTGAGTTGATGCTGTCAAATTGATGATTTTCTTTAATTTTTAATATATCATTGAGGATAAAATTTAAATTATAATTATGTGTATGCTAAAATTCATTATTCTTGAAGTGAGATTACTAGAAATTCTATGTATCACTTTTGATAGACAAAAAAGTATAATTTTGCATTGCTGTGTATTTAACATTGGCAAAGTAATATATTCATAAAAACAAAAATATTGATGTTTAAAAAATTCACCATAATCATAATTATATAAAGCATTTTGTCACTTATAGTGCTCCATTGTTTTCAAAGAGACAATATTATTAGAAAATGTATGTCTCTACATTAGGAAATAGATTGAATTATATGCAAATGGTGTGGATAGGAATGATAAAGCAACTATTAAGATCTATATAAAAACATTCTGATTTTTAAACTTATGAATAACAAAAATTGTTTTTAAATCTACATTATCTTTACCTTAATATTGTATGAGATACATGTCTATTCAAAATAATCTTAGGCCTCTTATTCATTGTGCTTCAATCATTTATTTTTCTATTCCATTGAGATCAGCAAGAAGTATGCCTATACTGTGTGTGCACGTGTGAGTGTGTGCGTGCACGTGTGTGTGTATGTGTGTATATATTCCAAAGCTGATACATTTTTGAGGTAATAAATGCAAAATGTTTTGGAGCTGACATCGTATGTTAAGCTCACACATTAAACGAGCTCTTCTTTCTTCACTCTTTCTTTAGCTCAGCATAAATTAGGACTTGCTTAAAATACAGCTTATTTAACGTGGGAACATGGGTATGTAGACACAATACTACCTTGAAAATGTAGGTACAAAACAACTTTAGCATTGAGACAAACTGCATAAAACAGATTTTAACAAACATGAGTCATCTCTGCTCATCAGCAGAAAGTAAAAGAGGAATCTACTTCCAGAAGAGGCATCTTATGAAATTAGAAAACATTTACACTTAATCTGAAAAATAATGTGACACATTCATGACTTTGATGAAATATATGAGAATTCATAGTTAGGTAATTCACTTCCAGCAAATTGGAATGAAATAGAAGTATTTAACTGGAGACCTTTCAAATCCAGCTTTTTCATTTTTATAATTAATAGTAAATAATAAGTTGTTTTCTGTGCATTTTTCCCATTGTTTTAACTGTATTTAATCTTCAGTAAATTGTATATGTGAAGTTTCAGGATGAAATTGTTCTTTGATAAACTTTTGTTAGAATCTACTGCAGTAATATGCTAAAATCCCATATCGATTCTATTTTCAAGTATTTTCTAACTTAGCAGATTGTTAAATATTATTCATATTAATTTAATAACAATTTGAGAAATTGTACAAAAGGATGTGTAGTATTGAAGGTAAGTATAGAATACTAAATGACTATACTCTGTATATATATTTTTTTTCAATAGGCTTTATTTTTAGAAATAGTTTTAGTACACAGAATTTAGAAGATAGTAAATGGTACCCATTTATCTTGTACTCAATTTCCCTTATTATTAATACCTTTTATTAGTCAGATATATTTGTTACAATTAATGAACCAATATTGATACATGATATAATCAGATTATCTTAAATTCTATCTAATACAATTTGTTGTTTGTTGTTATTGTTGCAGGATCTCATTCAGACACAACATTTCATTTTGTTGTCATGTTTCTCTTTGGCTGTTCTTGGCTGAGACAGTTTCTAAGATTTTCCTGGTTTTTGATAACGTGAATACTTTTGAGGAGTATTGGTTAGGTATTCTATAGGATAAGCCTCCGTTGAAATTTGCCTGATGTTTTTCTTATGATTCGACTTGAGGTTATATATTTTTGAAAGGAAAATCACAGAGGTAATGGTTCATTTTCCTCCAGCATGTTAAGGATATATATTATCAACATGATGTATAATTGTTGATACTGACATCTGGCTCAGGTAGTGTTTGTCAGGTTTCTCTACATTTTCTCTTCATTTTCTTCCATCCTTTCTAGAAGGAAGTCACTATATGCATTCCACACTTAAATAGTGGGGAGTAATTTGCCCCTTCCTGAAGGTAATAGTCCCCCTTATCCATGGTTTCACTTTTCATAGTTTCAGTTACCTGTAGTCAACTATAGTCCAAAAACATTACATGGAAAGTTCCAGAAATAAACAACTCATACAGTTTAAATTGTGTCCTGTTTTGAGTAACAGTGATTAAATTTTGCACCACCCCACTCTATCCCATCTAGGACATGAATGATCCTTTTGTCCAGCATGTCCATGCTGTAATGCTGCCTGCTCAGCAGTCACTTAGTAGCCCCCTGGGTTATCAGATTGACTGTCATGGTATTGTAAAGCATGTGTTCTATTAACCATTATTTTATTTAACAGTGGTCACAAGTCCAAGAGTAGTGAGGTTGGCAATTTAGATATGCCATAGAGAAACTATAAAGTGCTTCCTTGAAGTAAAAAGGTGGATGTTTTTGACTTAATAAGGAGAGAAAAAGTATCCTATGCTGAGATTGTTAAGATCTAAGGTAAGAACAAATTACTACCTGTAAAATTGTGAAGGAGAAAAAGAAAATTTGTGCTAGTTTTGCTGTTGTGCCTCAAACTGCAAAAGTCGTGGTCACAGTGCATGATAAGTACTTAGTTAGGTGGAAAAGGCATTAATTTATGGGCAAAAGAGATGAACAGAAAAGTGTTCCAACTGGTAAAAACAAATTGGGTTTTGTAGTACCTGTGGTTTCAGGCATCCACTGGAGGTCTTGGAATGTATCCTCCGTAGATAAGGGAAGACTACTGTACATAGATTATTTGGAATTCTACTGCATGAGTGATTTATCTACTATTTCCTAATGGTTAATATATTCAACCATTTATTTATATGAGTATGGAATCACACATATTTATTTTATTTTACACTATGGACCTTATCAAATACTATTTTATTAATTTTATTGCTTAAATTATTCTAGCATTGACCAACAGGAACTCCTTCAGTGGGCTGGTTCCTGTGCCACTTTGATATATTTCTATCAATGTCCGTTTGTGGGTGTGAGTGTTCCAGGATTATCTTGTTTATTTTTTGCTTCAGTCCTACAACCAGACTTTCTTCAAGGAGTCCTGGCTCCTTTTATTGAAGAATAATATTAGAAACCAAAATCTGAGTGGTAGCTATGCTCTTTACTAGCAAAGTGTCCCTACATGTTTTGATTTATTTTAACCAGGGAAAAGATACCAAGCTCTGTGTTTATGGTTATGCTCTGAAAAAAAAAAAAAAAAACTGAAAGTGAAAATAACACCAGTTTACGGAGCACCCCTACAGCTTCCCAGTGCTCTGTTTAATAATTTAGGAAATAAATGATTTTGTAGTATAAGATAGTGTTATAGGCAAAGATGAATTAATCAAAAATTGAATTGATTTGAAAATTTTAAAGAACACTCAAGAGAAAGAAAGTTCTTACTAAACCTATAGAAACTATGACTAGCAGATGAAAAGAAGGTCTAGATCAATGAAAAACAACTGACAAAATGAAAGTGATGGTGACAGGAAGGTGACTGGAAATGTCTAAAGAATTACTGTTGTTTGAAGTATATGGTAGGCTTTAATTGTGTTAAGTCTCTATTATATGCCTCTGTAGCATACATCTTTGAATACTGTTATTATTATTCCTAATTTGTCCAAGTTGTTGGCTTGTACAAAATTGTTCAATTCTAAGAAGCAGAACCAGTAATCCTTGCGTTTTAGCTATTGGGGTCACAGCTATTTAATGAGCATTGCTTTAAAATATGTATCTCATGTAGAAAGGCAATGCTCCAACTATGAAGAATACTGCTCTTATTAATTTGTTTCTTTAGCGGCACCTTAAAAAATGTTTCAACATGTTTTTCAGCTTCTAGGTGACTAGCGTATGGCAGGATAAGTCCCCATTGTCCCACCTCCTTGAAATAGTATGCATACCTTGGGCCAAGAGATGTTACACAAACATCTGTGATGACAAATTAGACAACCTGTGAGCCAAAGGACAAAGGCATTGACCAAGGCATTGAAGCCAGAGAAAGAAAATCTCTATTTAGGATCCATATTGTTCTTAACACAACAATGAAAATAGAAAATTTATCACCCAAACTTTTTCTTTTTGCCACTTTGCAGTGAATCCCTATTCTACGTGCCCTGGACTTTGGCAAACACTAATCTAATTTTCATGACCATGGTTTTGCTTTTTCCTGTAATTTCAAATACCTGAAACTATATGTATAATAGATAACATATGTAGTCATATTTTTCTCATTGCATTAAGCATAACTCTTTGGAGATGCCTCTATATTGTTCCTCTATCAAGAGTTCACTTCTTCTCTTTGCTATGTAGTGTCCCATTATCTATATTTAGCACAAATGACTTTCCCATTTTTGCCTACCAGTGTTTTTCAGATTTTGTCAATTATGTATAAAGCTATGGTAAACATTCTAGTGCAGGTTTTTGCATGAATATGTTTTCATTTGTCTTGAACATGTGAGTGTGGGTGGGTGGATATGCGGATGTGGAATGCCCAGGTTAAATAGTATGTGTTTAACCATATAAGAGACTTCCAACTCATTTCCATTATGACTCTTCCCTCTCCCTAAAACAGCCTCCCAAACACTCAAGAAAATGAGCCTTTCCAACATAAGACATCAAATAGTAGGCCTATGTAGTGGTTTTCATGTAGCAGATATCCAAAGACTATAGCTTCAAAACGAATATGTTCTTTTGTAGTCTACAATAAAATTATTACTGTATACAATGTTTTCTTTTAAATCAGTGTGAGGCTTAAATGAGTTATTCTTTTAAAAATATTTTCTGTCCTTTCTCTATCTGCATATGTATATTTCATTGAGGTAATAAATCTACAAGATATGTTGTCTCTCTTACTTTAAATGATCATGATTTAGTAATAAATCAAGAGGAGTGCTGAGATTTGACCTTAGGGCATCTGCACATTTTAAGATGTTACTTAGGTGAACCTGAAAGATTCTAAGCACAGCACTATCAGAGAGAGAAGAATGACAGGTACAACTCTGTTTATCATTTTTCTAGTAACTATAAGATCATTCCTGAAGTTCCTAGCCCTCATTAGATAAATTCTGATGTTTTATACAGAACAAATTAGTGGCTTTAAACTCCTTGGTATTGGTAATATTTATGAACATAATTAATCCCAATGAAGCTGATGCTTCCAAAAGATGTTTGACAAACTATGACACTTTGATCATTTTCAGTAACTACTACCCTAAACTTTGTTATTTTGTTTTTGTGATGACAAGAAGTCATTTAGTAACAAAAATAGGCCTTTAAAGGCTATTTGTTATCATACCACCAGAAAAAAATAAGTCAATGTAGATCATCAAATAGTTTAGCCATTCACATTTATCTTGTTATTCTAAGTTTAAAAGGTATCTATCAACTAATATATTATTAAGCTGCTATATTAACATAGAAAATTTAGGGAAAGATTTAGAGAAAATTAAACTGGTAAGATTCTGTTTCTAAGACTGTGTAAGAAAGCTCACGAATACTTACCAAGGGGGTCTTAAAGTTCCCCTCACCTTGACTAAACTTTAGACAGGCTTCTTCCTAACTTGAAGCCCCTGAACTCCCTTTTCTTAGAATATTTATTTTAGAGAACTTACAAATTATTTATCTAAAAATTTGAGATGTAAATCTTTTTAATAGCCTCTTACAAGCTTGACAACCTGATGATGTTTTTTTTTCAAGGACCTTGGAGCCATCCTTTTGAAATGTAATCATGAAAAAAAGAATGCTCTTGTCTTCCAATTTCTGTGAGAAAGTGGGAGCCTAACTTTGGAGGGCACGTATCTCCAACTTTAAAACTACCTCTGGACTTGAAGATACAAGAAAGTTTACTTTTCCTTTTGGTAAAGCCAATTAGCAAACACAAATAACCTAAATTCTTTATTTAGCATGCCATGTCTTAAAAGTTGCTGTCTTTTGAGAATCTTTAAATAAATAATTAAAACAAAATAACATGAGATTCTAAAGAATGAAAGAGGTTTTGTTAAGTATACAGAATATATTTTATTGATGTCAGAAATTGTCTGTAAGGTGTTTTTCTTCTAATCTATTTCTAATGACTACTATCAGAAAGCTCTAGGGTATAATAAAAAATATGATACTAAATCCAAGGATACACTGCCTTATAGTCTATTAAACATCTTGAGTAGTATTGTTGACAGCACAAAATTGAGGCATTTCTCCTCAGCGGCATGCAAATTGCAATTGGTTTTGCAATCAATTGGTGCAGTTTCTTCCCTTCTAGTCTACCATAGTTCAAATTTTTATACACAGTCTTCTTCCAGCATGAATAAGAAAATATTACAGGCATAAACTATTGTGATACTTACATAAATAAATACATTTTAACTTTATACCGATTATGTAAAGACACCAAAATTTTTAGAAATGTACTGGGATTTGTAAACTATTTAATTCAATCCTGTTTTGTAATATATGAGGAAACTAAGTATAAATAATATAGCAAAGGTCAAAACTGTTGATTAATGGCAGATTTAGTATTCTCATCTAGAATCCAGCTTATAGTACAGTTCCGTTTTCATTTTTACATGCCGAATATAATACTTTATAAACCTTTATCAATCTCTTTTGAAATCAATATATTTCATTCAGTATTATGTACTATATATATGTAGGGTTAAATGGAAAGGAAACAAAAACAGTGGCCCACATTGCTAATGTTGGGGCTTTCTTCGTATCTCATTCACGAATAAAACAGTGATTATTATTATCATTATCATGGAAAGTTTTGGCACACATATTAATGACTCTACATTACTTATTTCATTTAATTTCAAATAACATAGCTCATTTTAAGCTTAGTAAGAATTCTTAGAAAGTGGAGCTGACTCAGATATGCTCATAAAATGGACATATATGTATATATGCCTATATTTGTATGCATGCGTGGATAATATTTCTAAATTTATGTAAGTATATATGTTTATGTATGTATGAGTATATAATATTTCCTAAATTATATTATATAAAATATATATGCATGCATATACAGTATTTCAGAATTTATTTGTTTGGCTCTAAGAGTATTTATTGCCTGTTTCACTTATAAGTTTTTTATGTACTACAAGAACTTTCGGCAGAATAATTATCTCTGTTTGTATATCTCCTTCATTTGTTTTGTTTCAATTTCTATCTGATAAAGGCAACTTTTTCCCCAGAAGCATAAGACAAAACAATCAATAAAGAATTTTCAGATGGGTAGATTGCAAAAATTTTATCACATTCTGTAGGTTGCCTGTTCACTCTGATGATAGTTTCTTCTGCTGTGCAGAAGGTCTTTAGTTTAATTAGATTCCATTTGTCTATTTTGGCTTTTGTTGCCATTGCTTTTGGTGTTTTAGTCATGAAGTCCTTGACCATGCCTCTGTCCTGAATTGTATTGCTTAGGTTTTCTTCTTGTGTTTTTATAGTTTTAGGTCTAATATTTAAGTCTTTAATCCATCTTGAATTAATTTGTGTATAAGATGTAAGGAAGGAATCCAGTTTCAGCTTTCTACATATGGCTAGCCAGTTTTCCCAGCACCAGTTATTAAATAGGAAATCCTTTCCCATTTATTGTTTTTGTCAGGTTTGTCAAATATCAGATGGTTATGGATGTGTGGCGTTATTTCTGAGGCCTCTGTTCTGCTCCATTGGTTTATATATCTGTTTTGGTACCAGTGCCATGCTGTTCTGGTTATTGTAACCTTGTAGTATATTTTGAAGTCAGGTAGCTTGATGCCTCCAGCTTTGCTCTTTTGCTTAGGATTGTCTTGGCAATGCAGGCTCTTTTTTGGTTCCATATGAACTTTAAAGTAGTTTTTTTTTCAATTCTGTGAAGAAAGTCATTGGTAGCTTGATGGGGATGACATTGAATCTATAAATTACCTTGGGCAGTATGGCCATTTTCACGATATTGATTCTTCCTATCCATGAGCATGGAATGATCTTCCATTTGTTTGAGTCCTCTTTTATTTCGTTGAGCAGTGGTTTGTAGTTCTCCTTGAAGAGGTCCTTCACATCCTTTGTGAGTTGGATTCCTAGGTATTTTATTCTCTTTGAAGCAATTGTGAATAGGAGTTCACTCATGATTTTTGTCTGTTTGTTATTGATGTATAGGAATGCTGGTGATTTTCGCACATTGATTTTGTACCCTGAGACTTTGCTGAAGTTGCTTATCAGCTTAAGGAGATTTGGGGCTCAGACGATGGGGTTTTCTAAATATACAATCATGTCATCTGCAAACAGGGACAATTTGAATTCCTCTTTTCCTAACTGAATACCCATAATTTCTTTCCTTTGCCTGATTGCCCTGGCCAGAACTTCCAACACTGTGTTGAATAGGAGTGGTGAGAGAGGGCATCCCTGTCTTGTGCCTGTTTTCAAAGGGAATGCTTCCAGTTTTTGCCCATTCAGTATGATATTGGCTGTGGGTTTGTCACAGATAGTACTTGTTATTTTGAGATACGTTCCATCAATACCTAGTTTATTGAGAGTTTTTAGCATGAAGGGCTGTTGAATTTTGTCAAAGGCCTTTTCTGCATCTATTGAGATAATCATATGGTTTTTGTCATTGGTTCTGTTTATGTGATAGATTACATATATTGATTTGTGTATGTTGAACCAGCCTTGCATTCCAGGGATGAAGCCAACTTGATCATGGTGGATAAGCTTTTTGATGTGCTGCTGGATTTGGTTTGCCAACATTTTATTGAGGATTTTTGCATCGATGTTCATCAGGGATGTTGGTATACAATTCTCCTTTTTTGTTGTGTCTCTGCCAGGCTTTGGTATCAGGATGATGCTGGCCTCATAAAATGAGTTAGGGAGGATTCCCTCTTTTTCTGTTGATTGGAATAGTTTCAAAAGGAATGGTAGCAGCTCCTCTTTGTACTTCTGGTAGAATTTGGCTGTGAATCCATCTGACAAAGAGCTAATATCCAGAATCTACAAAAAACTTAAACAAATTTACAAGAAAAAACCCACCAAAAGTGGGCAAAGGATATGAACAGACATTTCTCAAAAGAAGACATTTATTCAGCCGACAGACACATGAAAAAATGCTCATCATCACTGGTCATCAGAGAAATGCAAATCAAAACCACAATGAGATACCATCTCACACTAGTTAGAATGGCAATCATTAAAAAGTCAGGAAACAACAGATGCTGGAGAGGATGTGGAGAAATAGGAATGCTTTTACACTGTTGGTGGGAGTGTAAACTAGTTCCATCATTGTGGAAGACAGTGTGGCGATTTCTCAAGGATCTAGAACTAGAAATACCATTTGCAGTGATCCCATTACTGTGTATATACTCAAAGGATTATAAATCATGCTACTATAAAGACACATGCACACATATGTTTATTGCAGCACTATTCACAATAGCAATGACTTGGAACCAACCCACATATCCATCAATGATAGACTGGATTAAGAAAATGTAACACGTATACACCATGGAATACTATGCAGCCATAAAAACAGATGAGTTCATGTCCTTTGCAGGGACATGGATCAAGCTGGAGACTATCATTCTGAGCAAACTATCACAAGGACAGAAAACCAAACACCACATATTCTCACTCATAGGTGAGAGTTGAACAGTGAGAACACTTGGACACAGGGCAGGGAACGTCACACACAGGGGCCTGTCATGGAGTCGGGGGCAGGGGAAAGGTTAGCATTAGGAGAAATACCTAATGTAAATGACAAGTTAATGGATGCAGCAAACCAGCAAGGCACATGTATACCTATGTAACAAACTTGAACATTGTGCACATATACCCTAGAACTTAATAATAATAATAATAATAATAAAAGAATTTTCCTTCTCTCTCAAACTGCTCCCTTATTTCTTTCTTCCTACTTTTCTCCTTTCATGAAATAATTTTCATTCCTTCTTAAATGTTATCAGTTTTCTTTGCATTTTGTCTAAAATATGTTATGACTTTTATCCAGAATAAAGTGGAAGTCTCCTAAATATCTGTCAGTGATAGGGATGAACTACTGTCAGAATGTTTTGTCCAGTGGGCATGAAACAGGAAAAAAAAAACACATAACATATAGGGAAATAAAGAATTTGGGTAAGCAGCTTTTTTCTCCCATTTTTTGTCATCTCTAAAATCTCTCTAGCCAATCTTTTACAAAATATCCCATCAACTTTATGCACACCAAGACTAACGAACTTACTTTTCTTTAAGATTAATTTAACAGTATCTATGATCAATTGAAAGTTGTCATGGTTCTTGCAGCATGCCACGTAGAAAAGTAGACATTTTGTGGTGAAGACAACAAATGTTTATGAAAACTAACCCAGAACAAGTGGTCCTATTGCAAACCACAACAAAACACATGGGATATTCTATTTTCTTCCCCTTATGAAGAAAAGTGTATTTACTTCCTTAAACTTTGTTGTCTCTTTAATCCAGTAGACGTTTATTGACTGTTTCAGTTTTGCACTGTGTTATGTAGAGGAAACAATGTAAGCAGGATGGCATGTGCTCTGATAAGGAAAAGAGATACTATATATACAAAAGATAGTGAAAGGTAGCTAATGACAAGTAGTGGGGTAGAGGGGACAATACACAGAAAAAGAGAGAGAGGAAAATGCATGACTGAGGAACTTCAAAAGTTTCATGCTTTTAATGTGGGCATTGGGAACTAGAAGTTCTTCAAGGCATAAATAAGAGACAAGCATTTCAAAGAGTGTAAAACTGTGAATAAGAGCAAGGTTACACATACTATTTTTAATGATTATAAGAACCGTCATGTCTCAAAAAAAAAGAGCCATCTTTTTTACCTGGAGTCTTTTGAGATAATTGTGTTACTTATTTTTTAAAAAGATCTAAAATATAATTGAATTTAATGCTAGTTTAGGGTATAATCCTTTGTCCACATGTAACTTCCAATTAGGTTGTTAAGTGGCTCTTTTTATTTATCTATCTATCTATCTATCTATCTATCTATCTATCTATCTATCTCTCTCTCTAGTTACTATTATCTGTTTATCCTTAATAACTTATCTACCTATTCAGTCATCCATGCATCTGTCCATCTGTCATTTTGTCTTCTCTCGCTACCCATTATTTTTGCATAAGACATATAAACAATAATACTGTAATGTCTAAAGGAGTTATTGAATTATACAGTGGTACTATAATCTGATAATGCTTCAGAGTGGATCTGACATTTATGATTAGAAAAAGATTTCAGTGAGTGATGTGATTTAGCAAAGAGGAAGAAGATGATTACTTTTAATCATCTGAGAAAAAAGTATAGACCCAGAACAAAGGCTGACTACTTACCTCATTTGTTTGAAATTTGTGGTTTTTCTAAGATTATAGTAGTTAGATAGAAGTTCAAAGAGCAGGTAACAACTACATTTAGAAAACTAAAAAATATTTTCAAATTAACTGCTCAGTGACAACAAGCTTTTTTATCTGTTAAAATACATATTATGGGTGAAATTATAATTTCTCCACCTAAATAGTTGTAGGAAAATGAAGAGTTATATGTTAATACAATTTCTCACTTTCTACTTTTCAAAATAAATTTTAAATTAATCTTTTAAATTTTAAAATAATTTATTAGAATAAAATTAGTGTCACTCTGTTTTTTCATATATACATGTTGATCAGGTTAATTAGGCATTAATCCCACAAAGGAAGTATATATAATATAATATACAACTATTTGGATCTTATTATTAATTTTAAAATACAGTTCATAACTGTGCTTATTAAAATAGTGAAATATTTTTCTTTTGAAAAACGTGTAACTTGATATCTAAATACTGTCATTGTGATTCTGTTGAAAATTCTCTGTGTTTTAAAGTAGTGATAAAAATCCACTTTGAATACAATTTCATGAAAAGGTGAGCATCTATTACTGTGGCTTGCTGACTATCTCCTGTAAGTTCAAAGGCTATAGAATTTCTAAGATATCAACATACTATTGAGGTAGTAGATCAGCAGGGCTTGTTTTCCAAGCACTGGTGATGACCCCAGTCTCCACACTGCTGATCAGAGCAGGATGTGGTTGAAACAGTGTGCAGTGAAGAAGCCTGCTGAAACCAGCCCATGGTGACAGAGAAAAGCGATCTCTGGTTTTCCTCGCTGCTTTTTAGCACGAAGACACTCCTACTGGTGCCATGAAAATTTACAAATGACATAGCAACAGGTCATGATAATGGCCCAGAAGTTACCTTATATGGTTCTGGAAACTCCCTGCCCCTTTTCCAGAAATTTCTGAATAACCCAGCTCTTAATTAGCATATACTTAAAAGAGGGTATAAATACCACTGCCAACAGCCCATACACTGCTACTCTGGGCACACTGCCACTGGGGTAGCCCTGTTCCACAAGGGGCAGTACCTCTGCTACTGCTGCTGCTACTGATGATGATGTTCATTGCTGCTTCAGTAAAAGTTGCTGACACCACAGGCTTGCCCTTGAATTTCTTCCTGAGTGAAGCCAAGAGGTCTCTGGGGCTAAGCTTCAGTTTTGGGGCTTGTCTTCCCTGCATCTCTATGAACGTGTAAATGTAGCATCTTACTTTCAAGACAAATTCAATAATCATTTCATTTGCAAGGCTTTCCATGGCACACTTAGTACCAGAGTCAGCAAACTTTTTCTATAAGGAGCCAGATGGCAAATATTTTCTGCTTTGTGGGCAGTACATATGGTCTCTGTCACAACTACACAACCCTACTGTTGTAGTGTGAAATATAATCCTCAGGGACAAGATCGGTAATAGCAGAAGCCACAAATAGTAAGAAAACTCACAGAGAATACAGGACTCAAGAAACAGTATCGGTATCAGCTGCCCCTTGTTACTTTAAGATTTTCTTTCCCCATATCCTTACCTGTGAATTTTTTTTTAGCTTAATAAGGATGGTGTTCTACTTAAAAATCTCCTTTCATTTTCCCTTGCTTAGAGTATACTCGACCCCTTTTTACCACCTTAGTAAGCAGGTTAATTAAGTGAGCACTTTCTGGTAGTGGTCAAAAAACATCCCTGACTCACACCTTTAGTTTTCCTATTGATTGCACCTGCAATCTGTGTTACAACTAATACTAAGAAGATAAATCCCTTTTGTTCTGATAGTCTCAACTTCTTTCTCTAAGACAGGCAATACATTTACTAGTGAAAAAAATAAAATTTAAACCCCCTCATATAAATATTGCATTTGATTCCATTCTTTTTACATGTAATATGCTCTATCAAAATGTGAAGCAAAAAGATCCTCTTTATTTTCTAAAATTTTCAGAAGGATGTTTTCAGAAGGATGAGTCAAAATCGGCCCCCTCCAAAGAATTTAGACTGCCAACACTTAGACATTTATTTAATGCTTCCCCACTTCTTCATATACATATATGTATGTATATATATCAATGTTAAAAATTATATAGAGGGGTTATTATACAATATTCAACTAGTTAGATTATACATTTGATTCCATATTCTCTGGTGTGTATAAAATTTGGAGAGTGGAGGGACATTAAGACTCATCTGGCCAGTGGGAGAGTCGTAGATTTAAGTTTGGCAAATAAATCACCTTTTATTTAGAATTCCAAAGTGCAGTCTCAGTAAATAAAGCACACTGAGTTGAATGCAGAGTGAGGCATAATCATTATACTTATTATTATGTAGTCATTGTTTAGCTCTCGTATTGTCTTTATAGATATGCTGTGGCTTCCAAAGAGCAGTGAACTATTTTATTTTATCTTTATATCCCAGTATCTGGCACAAAGCTTGGTACACCTAATGCATTAAAAATGTTGAGTAAAAGTGTGAAAAATTCTGCAGGCCATTGAATGATCTGTCCCTAAGTCTACTTAGGTAGAATTGTGTGACAAAAACAAGAGTCTGCAAACATTTTCTGGATGTCTGCACATGTGAATAAGTGAATGATGCATTAAATATAATACACACTAACACATATCTAATTAATTTAGCTTTTTATGCCTGATAAAAGAATAATGAGAAACTCTAAAAGATATTGCTTTGAGATATTTCCCTCTGGACTCATTTACAAGCTAACAGAAGGATGTAAATCTGGTAATCGGTAAAATTTGCATATTTGTGAAAGAAAGATCTGTGAGATGATAGAGCACTAGGAACTTTGCTCTATTTGATATTTTATAAGTTCATGCCATCAGATGGTGAATCCATTTGGGGAAAAAAAAATTCCTCCTAGAAAATTTGACGCTAAACACTGAAATGTAATAATATCCAATGTGAGAATGTCTCCTTTGACTTTGTATTTGCATTTCCCTGTACATCACAAAGAGGCTTGCACATCACTCATGAGTAAATTAATATGGTAATAATGGTAATAAAATACAAAACTATTTGAAGATCCTTGAAAAATTAAAAAATCCATCCCTCAGATTATATGAATAGCCTTCTATTATCTGTGTTAATATCTTAAAATTAAATGTTCTCCCCCAAAATCAAATACAAACCTAAAACGTTTCTGTTTCCATTGAGTAAGTGTTTCTGACTTAGGGAATACAGCTAGCAGTCAGTGATCTGACAATATACCCTAGATACTGTAAGAGGAATAACACGTAAGTGAACACTCTACAGAGGAGAAGCCATAGATAAAATGGGAGTTTTAAGAGCCTGTAATCAAAGATGTGTAAGAAGCAGAGTGGCACATAAAAGGATCAAGAACCTTAATTTTTGACAAAATATGGGTAAAAAAACTTATAGATGCATACTATTTAATATTAATATTATTAATATTTTCTTTTAAACAGATTTTGTAATGTTTAAAAAAGAACCAGCCCTTTGTGCTTGTTATGCTCTCTATCGGTTAGATAGATCTTCACTTAATTTACTGTCTTATCACTATGTACTCATCAATTACTTTTGGGTCTTTTTTTAAACATCTTCTTTGACCACCTTATCTACAATAATTACTTTTGCCATTCTTTGCTACCTCTTTATTCTACTGTGGTAATAGTGTCATATACTATCATATATAGAAATTATAGCACTTTACAAAGGCACACATTGTGATGTTAGTGATACTGTGTCATTTTTGCTACTGTGTTCTCAGCTATTGGAATACATCACAGGTGCTCAATAAATAATTTTTGAATGCTGAATGTTGAATGAATGAATGGAGAAAATTCCCTGTTCAATCTAGTATTGATATTAAATCTCAACATATTCAACTTAACCAACACCTTTCATGTTGTACGTTCATAATTTTAATGAATAAATGCATTAACCATGTAATTTTTAAATTGAATATGTATCTTTGTTAAGATATTCCTACATATATAATTGCAGAATATATTCAACAAATATATTTGAATCTATTATGAATAATGCATGGTTTTCTGTTTTTAATTGTTAAACTACAAGTGTTTTAATGCCAATGGACTTACTTGCTGACAAATTTTATTTTAACTAACAAAAACGAGGTTAAAATAAAAATGACTTACAGTTAAAAATGGCAAAAAATGCAAACTACAAAAGTATAATTATGGTCAATAGTAAAGAGCATGAATGTTTTAAAATAAAAATACCAGGCTATTTTTCAAATTTTCTTGCATATTTTCATGTTGATTTGGTTCTCAAAATGAAATAAAATAAATATCTGAAGACTATTTTGGCAACTATAGAGATAAGTCAATAGATATATAACATAATCATGCTCAATAAGAAATTGCTATTTTGATCATTTCTTTCATTTCTGTTGTCAGTAACTGTGAAAATAACCTAAGAATATAGATGACACTCTACTCAGGAATGAAACCATTGCTTGCCCTCCAAAAGAAAAAAGATTATGAAAACAAAATAAAGAAAAAAGTCAGTTTTGACAGAAAACATAGCATGGAAAAATAAACTAAATTAAAACACAAATTATCTTATATATATGATATTGCTAAATGTGTTAAAATGATTATTTTCTGCACTATGATTTTTATTTTTGTTTAATATGTTATTAAGACAAAAACATTTCTTAGAAATTAGGTTGAAAGTTATTTACTTTGTAGTGAGCTAGATATTTGAAAGAAATTAGCTGCTATGATTTCTTTTTTATTTTTTTAAATTTTATTTTATAAGAGCACTAAGCATGAGATCTACACTCAACACGTTTTTTAAATTTTTTATTTATAATTATAATGGGTACATAATAAGTGTATATATTATTGGGGTGCATGCAATATTTGGATACAGGCATGCAATGTGTAATAATCAGATCAGGGTAAATAGGGTATTCCTTTATCATTTATTTTTGTTAGAAACATTCCAATTTTACTCTTGTAGTTATTTTGAAATAATAAATTATTGTTGACTATAGTCACTGTTGTGTTATCAAATACTAGATAATATTCATTCCAACTATATTTTTGCACTCGTTAACCACTCCTACTTTATGTCTCATCACCACTACCATTCCCAGCATTTAGTAACCATAAATCTAGTCTCCATGAGTTCAGTTGTTTTAACTTTCATTTTTCACATGTAAGTGAGAACACGCAAAGTTTACTCAACAAATTTTAAGTGTTAAATATAATATTGTTATCTATAGGTGCAAGGTTGTATATCAGAGCTCTAGAACTAATTTCTCTTGCATAATTGGAATTGCGTATGTGTTGACTAGTAACTCCCCATTCACCTCCCCCAGTCCCTGATAAACATTATTCTATTCTTTGCACCTATGTTTTTGTATATTTTAGATATTTTATATAAGTGGAATCATGCAATATATGTATTTCTGTGATTGGCTTATTTCACTTAACATAATGCCCTCTGGGTTCATTTATGTTGTTCACATGTTGTAGGATTTCCTTCTTTTAAGGCTGAATAATATTCCATTATATATATGTATACCACATTTTCTTCATTCATCTGTTGGTGGATATTTAGATTGTTTACACATGTTGGCTACTGTGAATAGAGCTGCAGTTAGTGTGGGAGTTGTTATATCTCTTAAGGATTTCAATTATATTGGAGTAATATTAAAAGTGGGTATGGTAGCTTTATTTTTTTAATTTTTATTACATTATTTTATTTCATTTTATTTTATTTTATTTTTGAGATGAAGCCTCGCTCTGTCACCCAGCTGGAGTGCAATGGCACAATCTCAGCTTACTGCAACCTCCGCCTCCCGGATTCCAGCAGTTCTCCCACCTCAGCCTCCTGAGTAGCTGGGACCAGAGGCACTCCCCACCATGCCCGGATTTTTTTTGTATGTTTAGTAGAGATGGGGTTTCACCATGTTGGCCAGGTTGGTCTTGAACTTCTAACCTCAAGTGATCCACCCCCTTGGCCTCCCAAAGTGCTGTGATTACAGGCATAAGCCACCACACTCTTCTGAGTAGCTTTATTTTATTTTTAATTTTTGATGAATCTTCATTCTGTTTTCCACAATGGAAAAAGCTAGATAGATATCCAATTTCCCCCACACCGTCTGTTGAAGAAACTATCCTTTCCTTATTGTGTAACGTGGCACCTTTATAGAATGTGATGGTTAATACTGAGTGTCAACTTGATTGGATTGAATGATACAAATTATTGATTCTTGTGTCTGTGAGGGTGTTGCCAAAGGAGATTAACATTTGAGTCAGTGGGCTTGGAAAGGCACAACCACCCTTAATCTGGGTGGGGCCAATCTAATTAGCTGTCAGCATGGCTGGAATACAAGTAGGCAGAAAAATGTGAAAAGAGACTGGCCTAGCCTCCCAGCCTACATCTTTCTCCCATGCCGGATGCTTCCTGCCCTCTAACATCAGACTCCAGATTTGTGAGTTTTGTAACTGGGACTGGTTCTCCTTGCTCCTCAGACTACAGACAGCATATTGTGGGACCTTGTGATGGTGTGAGTTAATACTTAATAAACTCCCCTTTATATATATATATATTTATATATATAATATGTTTTATTATATATGAAATACATATATATGAAATACATAAAATTATATCTAATTATATATTTATTAATATATTAATATCCAATTATATATAATTATATGTAAATATATATAATTATATAAAAATATATATAATTTTATATATATTTCATTAATTCTGTGTCTCTAGAGAACCCTGACTAATACATTGAAGATCAATTGAATATCTACGTGTGAATTTATTTCTGAGCTCTCTATTCTGTTCCATTGGTCTGTAGTTCTGTCTTTGTTCTAGTACCATACTGTTCTAACTACTGTACTTTTGTGATGCTTTTTATTGTCAATCAAGAAGTGCAATGTCTCCACCTTTAGTCTTTTTTTTCAAAATCGATTTGGCTATTGAGTTTTTTTGTGGTTCCTTATGAATTTTAGAATTGTTTTTTTCTGTTCTTATAAGAAAGGTTATTGAGATTTCAATAGGGATTCCATTAAAAGTTTAGGTCTCTTTGTTTAGTATGGACATCTTAACAATATTGAATCTTCCAATCCATAAATATTAAATGTCCTTCCATTGTTGTGTGCCTCACTTAATTTCCTTCATCAATATTTTGTAGTTTTCAAAGTACACATCTTTCACTTTGTTAGTTAAATTAAGGCTAAGTATCTGATCATTTATAAATGCCCCACTTTGTTGATATGTTTCAAGTAACATAATTTTCATAACAGCCCTTTTATTAATTATATGTATTTAAAAGTAATGGATATATCCTTCTATATATTCTTCAAAAATTAACTGATTTTCTTTAGGAGATGGTTTTAAAACAGTGTTTTGCTAGTCAAGTAATATGTATTAATTTATATTCTAAACTAGACATTCTGCTGAAGTTCAGATATTAAAGTATGAACAAGACAAATGTATTTATTATTTTTAAATCTGTGGTCTTTATGGGGAAGATAATTAAAAATATAACTAATTATTAAGAAGTAATATTTTTAAGTTAAAGGAAATAAAGATGCTGTGAGAGAGGCATTATATTTAATTGTATGTATATATAATCCAAACGATCTTATATCTAAGTGCTAAATTTTTGCTATGTTTTAAATTTTTTTTTGTGCTCAAATTTTGTGAAACTTGCCCAAAGTAAAAATTCTGAAAAAGCCATCTTTGAAATGCTTTATTTTCGTTCCTCATGTGGGCTAGTCATGCCCCCAAAAAAATTCTCCCAAAGGATACGCAGTTGATTTAAATTATTCATACTTTTAAATAATAAAAAGTAAATTACTTTTATATTTTAATTAAGTTCACTCTACTACATATCTTTAAATGTAACTAATGTAATGTAAGAAAACTAAGCTTACACTTTGTCTTTAAGTCTTCAACCATACCTTAAACCCTACACAACATATTTAAATTTAAGAAATTATAAGAAATAGTGGCTAGAGAATGTTAAGTCAGAAGAAAAACTAGACTTTGAAAACCTTGTTTTTCTTCAAAATGCAATGTCCTCTCTGTGCCTCTGGATGTCATAAGTATCAAAAGAAATAATTTATGACCAAGCTATTGTGTTTTGTATTTTTTACCTGCTACATACATACCTAATAAATAATCATTTCACAACTTCTCTTTAAACCATACTATGGTCAATGAATCATGTAACATTTGTGATTGTCATCAGGTGAAACTGGGTCTTACAGAGCTCAGATAAGCCTTCGGTGATGACAGAATGTGAACCCTTCAGTATCAACACCAACTGACTTCCATCTATAGATTATGTTAAAAAATAAAATAATCTTTAGCACATGATCTAAGCCTAGAAGGCACAGAAATTGGCATCTTTATAGTATCTTAATAGTTATGGTTTGAAATTGCATAGTCCTCTCTCAACACTATAATTATCTTCTTTGAAAAATTTTTTGAAGGTAAGTATTTTTCATCATTTTATTGCACAATAGTATAACAGATTATACTTGGTTTTGGTGAGATATTAAGTTATACTCGTTGAGAAGAAGAAATATTTTGACAAGTGCCAAAATAAGCAACATTCTCTCTTCAAGATACATGCTGTTTTATACTGTAAGAATAGGCTTTTTTAAATATGTTTTTGAAAGATAATATACATCTATTAAATTTCTAAAATATGTGGTTGTAATTTTTCACTATTATTATTTAATTTCATTGGATATACAATATAAATTTTTGAGGAATAAATTATTGTAACAATGTAGAGAATGATAAATAAACTCCTAAAATGGCCATTCTGTTAAATGTGGTGAGTTACATGTTTACTGTTCCTGTGACTATATTTAAACATTGAAATGTCATCTTTCCATCCATTTAACTTATAATCTGGTATGGTTTGGCTGTGTTCCGACCCAAATCTTAACTTGAATTGTATCTCCCAGAATTCCCATGTGTTGTGAGAGGGACCCAGGGGGAGGTAATTGAATTATGAGGGCTGGTCTTTTCCATGCTATTCTCGTGATAGTGAATAAGTTTCATGAGATCTGATGAGTTTCTCAGGGGTTTCCACTTTTGTTTCTTCCTCGTTTTCTTTTGCTGCCACCATGTAATAAGTGCCTTTTGCCTCCCTCCATGATTCTCCCCCGCCACATGGAACTGTTAAGTCCAATTAAACCTCTTTTTCTTCCCAGCCTCAGTTATATCTTTATCAGCAGCATGAAAACGGACTAATACAGTAAATTGGTACTGAGGGTGGGATGTTGCTGAAAAGATACTCAAAAATGTGGAAGCAACTTTGGAACTGGAAAACAGGCAGATGTTGGAAGAGTTTGGAGGGCTCAGAAGAAGACAGGAAAATGTGGGAAAGTTTGGAACTTCCTAGAGACTTCTTTAATGGCTTTGCCCAAAATGCTGATACCAATACGAACAATAAAATCCAAGCTGAGCTGGTCTCAAATGGAGATGAGAAACTTACTGGGAAGTGGAGCAAAGGTGATTCTTGTTATGGTTTAGCAAAGAGACTGGTAGCATTTTGCCCCCGCCCTAGAGATTTGTGAAACTTTAAACTTGAGAGAATTGATTTAGGGTATCTGGCAAAAGAAATTTCTAAGCAGCAAACATTCAAGAGGTACCTTGGGTACTGTTAAAGGCATTCAGTTTTATAAAGGAAGCAAAGCATAAAAGTTTGGAAAATTTGCAGGATGGTTATGTGATAGAAAAGAAAAACCCGTTTTTCTGGGGATAAATGTAAGCCAGATGCAGAAGTTTGCACAAGTAGCAAGAAGCCTAACGTTAATTCTCAAGACCAAAGAGAAAATGTCTCCAGGCCATGTCAGAGACCTTCACAGCAGCCCCTCCCATCACAGGCCCGGAGGCCCAGAAGGAAAATACGGTTTCATGGGCCAGGCCCAGGGCCCCTGTGCTGTGTGCAGCCTAGGGACTTAGTGCCCTGTGTCCAAGCTGCTTCAGCTGTGGCTGAAAGAAGCCAATGTACAGTTCGGACTGTGGCATCAGAGGGTGGAAGCCTCAAGCCTTGGCAGATTCCATGTAGTCTTGAGCCTGCAGGTGCACAAAAGTCAAGAATTGACATTTGGGAACCTCTACCTAGATTTCAGAAGATGCATGGAAATGCCTGGATGCCCAGGCGGAAGTTTCCTGCAGGGGCTGGGCCCTTATGGAGAATCTTTGTTAGAGCAGTGCAGAAGGGAAATGTGGAGTCAGAGCCCCCACACAGAGTCCCTACTGGGGCACTGCCTAGCAGAGGTGTGAGAAAAGGACCGCTGTCATCCAGACCCCAGAATGGGGTCCACCGACAGCTTGCACCGTGAGCCTGGAAAAGCCGCTGACACTCAACACCAGCCCATGAAATCAGCTGGGAGGGATGCTATACCCTGCAAAGCCAGAGGGGCTGAGCTGCCCAAGACCATGGGAACCCACCTCTTGCATTAGCGTGACCTGAATGTGAGACCTGGAGTCAAAGGACATTATTTTGGAGCTTTAATATTTGACTGCCTTGCTGGATTTTGGACTTGTATCGGCCCTATAACCCCTTCATTTTGGCCAATTTCTCCCATTTGGAATGGCTGTATTTATCCAATTATCTGTACCCTCATTTTATCTAGGAAGTAACTAGCTTGCTTTTGATTTTACAGGCTCATAGGCAGAAGGGACTTTCCTTGTCTCAGATGAGAATTTGGACTGTGGACTTCTGCTGAAAGTCATTTAATGCTGAAGTGAGTTAAGACTTTGGGGGACTGTTGGGAAGGCATGATTGGTTTTGAAATGTGAGAACATGAGATCTGGAGGGGCCAGGGGCTGTATGATATGATTTGGCTGTGTCCCCACCCAAATCTCAACTTAAATTATATCTCCCAGAATTCCCATGTGTTGTGGAAGGGACTCAGGGGGAGCTAATTGAATCATGGGGGGCATTATTTCCCATGCTTTTCTCGTGATAGTGAATAAGTCTCACAAGATCTGATAGGTTTATCAGGGGTTTCCACTTTTACTTTCTCATTTTCTCTTGCTACCACCATGTAAGTAGTGCCTTTTGCCTCCTTCCATGATTCTGAGGCCTCCCTAGTCTTGTGGAACTGTAAGTTCAATTAAACCTCTTTTCTTCCCAGCCTGGGGTATTTATTTATCAGCAGGATGAAAATGGACTGATCCATAATCATAGAATCTTGCTCCATTTAAGCAAGAGTGGCATTATACATTTTACATAAACGTGTGTGTGTATGTGCACCTGCTTGGAATATTTTAAGATCTTAAATAGTCAATTTCTTAAATTTCATCTTTTTCAAATCTTTTATTTTTTAAATACAGAAGGTTACAATCATATTTTCGTAAGGTAATTTTGGTACATTTCACATTTAATGGCTTATTTCTGATAATATTATTGATAGCAAAAAAACCTTTTTAGATAATGTTTTGTTATAAAAAATTATGCTTGTGTATTTGGTTGAGTATCTGGCCTTCATTGTATTTATACATGCAGATTTAAAAATTCTGGATTAACACCAATTCACCTCATAATTATTGCTTAAAAAATAGCAGGTATATAGGTCTTATGAGTAGGTAATAATTAAATACTGCTAAATCATTATAGGCACAATTATATCCAAGAAACAACATTGATGGACTATAATGGCTGAGATCTTAATTAAGCATGAGTCAGCAAATTCTAAACAAAGGTTCTATGACTACCACCTTTTCCTAAGTCTTTATACAGATCATTAGGCTGTATCTTTTTTTTTGAACATGAATTTCAACATAAAATTTAAGTGCATTATTTAAGAAGACAGAATATAAAAATCTCAGTTGAATATTAAAAGAATGGAACTGCTATAGTTTAAAATGTACTCCTTCCAAAATTCATGTAGATGCTTTATCTCCACTGTGGCAGTATTAAGAGATGAAGCATTTGGGGAAGTGATTAAGTCATGAGGGTTCAGTCATCATGAATGAGGTTATTGTCTTATAAAAGAGCTGAAGGGAACCATGTTAGGCCCTTTTTGCACTTCTACTTTCTGATATGTGAGAAAACAGTATTTGACTCCTCAGGAGGATGCAACGAGACATCACATTGGAAAGAGAAAACAAGGCCCTCATCAAACATCAAGCCTACCAGCACCTTGATCTTGAACTTCTCAGCCTCCACAGCTATGAGAAATAAATGTCTTCCTTTATAAACAACCCATTCTTAGGTATTTTATTCGAGCAGTAGAAAAAGACAAAGACAGGTATTAAATCACCTTTTGAAAAATCTGCCAGAATATTTTTAATGATCCAAACTCATCATCAATTGTACAAAATAAGAATTATCTCCCTGGAATGTGCAAATTAGGATATTGGTTTAGTTCTTTATTGAATTTATTTTAGTCCAGGTCATCTTGATCATTTTTTACAAACTCTAATTAAAATAACTTAATTTAATTTATTTATAATTTAATTTATAAAATGATATTATTATAAAATATGTAGCTCTCAGCTCTCAATTCAGAAATCTGCTCATTTTTCTGTGTGGCTGTCTAACCCAACACTGGTATAGTTCACTCTTCATAACTCAGAAGGCTACAGGTCTGTCTGGAAGTTTGCTGGGCCACTGAGTAGCATAATTATTTATGCTCATCTTGTAATTGCTTCCTCAATTTCACAATAATTGGGGAAAATGAGTTAAGGATAAAGGCAAAGTGCTTAGGTACTATACAAAGAAAATGATGAATTTTATTATATTCTGACTAACTTAGTTTTAAGCTACCTCAGAGAAAAAAAAAATGTCTAATTATTTAGTCGTCTCCAATATAGTACATTATCCAGTATCTATATAGTATGCTTCTAAATTTAATGCATGATTGAAAGGAATAATTTGGTGTTTTCTGATATGTAAACATGGCTTAAAATTACAATTTGACAGCAGTAGAAATTTCTACTCAATCTATCCAATACTTTATTTAAGTAATAAAAATTAATATATAGTAAAATCTCCTTATGTTATAGATTACTAACAGTTTTTTTTATTTTTAGTGAATCTTTTTGGTTTCTTTAAAAGTATATATTTTCAAATACTGGCCCTTTTCTTCCTCCTGTCTAACTGAAACACTGCACCCTTTGACCAGTCTCCCTATTCCTCCACTCTCTAGCCTCCTGTAGCCACAGTTCTGTTCTCTGCTTCTGTGTGTTCATTTTTTAAATAGCTTATTTTAAATAACTGTAAAGTATCACAGTAAAGGTAGAATATGACTTGAAATTTTGACATATAAAAGGCCAAATGCAGAAGGGTAGTGTCAAGTTTGATGTAGTTAAACTATGTACTGTATGGGATCTGCGTAAGTTCGCTAGAGGTGCTCTAGCAAAGAACAACTGGTGGCTAAAAACAAACAAAACAACAACAATAACGAACATATAATTTATTTTCTTCATGGTTCTTGAGACTAGAAGTCCAAACTCATGTTGTCATCAACTTTCGTTTCCTCTGAGACCTCTCTTCTTGGCTTATAGATGGCTTTCTTCTCTCCATGTCTTCATATCATCTTTCCTCTGCAGATGTTCATGTCCAAATGTTCTCTTACTATAACAACATTGGGGCCCACCTTAATGACCTCATTTCCACTAAATTACCTTTTTAAAGGCCCTATCTTTAAATATAGTCACACTCTGAAGTATCGGGGATTAGAACATCAACATATCAATTTTGGTGGGACACAATTCAACCCAAAATAGAATGACAAATATTAAGGCTGGCAAGGAGGAATGGTTATAAATATTTTTCCAATGTTACTACTTTTTCTGTGATAGTAAAGAAGAATGGTACATTATAATACCGTAACCAAATGTGGTCCTCACAATATAAATTATTATTTATCTATTATTTTCTTATAGAAAGCTTCAGAACACAATATCACAAAATTAGTAGCTTAAAAGCATACGTAGTTATGATCTCCCCATTCTCTGAGTTTGAATTCTGGGCACAAAATTAGCACGCATTGTGCTTAGGGTCTCACAAGCCTGAAATCTAACTCTTGGCCAGGGCTTGTTCCCATTTAAGGCTTGGGCCCTATCCCTAGAACATGTGGTTGTTGACAGAATTCAGTTTCTTACAATTGTAGGACTAAAATCTCTACTTTCCTACTAGCTTTTGGCCCAGGGATCAAAATTGGCTTCTAGTGCTAACCCTTGAGTCCTACCTACTTGGTGCTTTCACAGCATGGCAACTTAATTTCATCAAGACCGGCAGTATAATCTATCTCACACTCTAAATCTCTGATTTCAGAAAGAAGATAAACCCACCAAAAGTGATAATTTCAAGTTATAAGAAAAGAAAAATATAATCTTGTGACATAAGTTGCCTAGGATAGACAAAAATTACATTGTTCTCTCTAATTTTAGTAGCAAATATGACCAGACTTAGTGAAGTATATTTATGTTTTATATTATATTTTCAAGATTGCATTTCCAAGGATTGGAGCTTCCCAAGGAGGCAAATTTCCAACTTTTTTGTAAAAGCTGCTCTTAACAAATTATTCCAAAGCCCATTTTTTCTCAACTGAAGTTTAATCATTGTAAATAATTTGTCAACTATTAAATATATATTTATTGAGAATTAACACTTATCTTCCTGAGATCACATTAGGTGTTGTATTAACGTGCTTAGATAAAACATTCTTCTTTTTTATTATTATAATACTTTAAGTTCTGGGATACATGGCAGAACGTGCAGGTTTGTTACATAGGTAAACATGTGCCATGGTGGTTTGCTGTACCCATCAACCCATCATCTACATTAGATATTTCTCCTAATGCTGTCCCTCCTCCTGCCCCCAACTCCCTGATAGGCCCCAGTGTGTGATGTTCCCTTCTCTGTCCATGTATCCTCATTGTTCAACTCCACTTATGAGTGAGAACATGTGGTGTTTGGTTTTCTGTTCCTGTGTTAGTTTGCTGAGAATGATGGCTTCGAACTTCATCCAGGTCCCTGCAAAGGATAGAAACTCATGCTTTTTTATGGCTGCATAGTATTCCATGGTGTATATGTGCCACATTTTCTTTATCCAGTCTATCATTGATGGGCATTTGGGTTGGTTCCAAGTCTTTGCTATTATGAATAGTGCTGCAGTAAACATACGTGTGCATGTGTCTTTATAGTAGAATGATTTATAATCCCTTGGGTATATACCCAGTAATGGTATTGCTGGGTCAAATGGTATTTCTAGTTCTAGATGCTTGAGGAATTGCCACACTGTCTTCCACAGTGGTTGAACTAATTTATACTCCCACCAACAGTGTAAAAGTGTTCATATTTCTCCACATCCTCTCCAGCATCTGTTGTTTCCTGACTTTTTAATGATTGCAATTCTAACTGGCGTGAGATGGTATCTCATTGTGGTTTTGATTTGCATTTCTCTAATAACCAGTGATTATGAGCTTTTTATCCTTTGTAGGCCGCATAAATGTCTTCTTTTGAGAAGTGTCTGTTCATATCCTTCCCTCACTTTTTGATTGGGTTGTTTGTTTTTTCTTCTAAATTGCTTTAAGTTCCTTGTAGATTCCTCATATTAGCCCTTTTTCAGATGGGTAGATTGCAAAAATTTTCTCTCATTCTGTAGGTTGCCTGTTCACTCTGATGATAGTTTCTTTTGCTGTGCAGAAGCTACTTAGTTTAATTAGATCTCATTTGTCAATTTCGGCCTTTGTTGACATTGCTTTTGGTGTTTTAGTCATGAACTCTTTGCCCATGCCTGTGTCCTGCATGGTACTGCCTAGGTTTTCTTCTAGGGTTTTTGTGGTTTTAGGTTCACATTTAAGTCTTTAATCCATCATGAGTTAATTTTTGTATAAGATGTAAGGAAGGGGTCCAGTTTCAGTTCTCTGCATATGGCTAGCCAGTTTTTCCAGTACCATATTAAATAGGAAATCCTTTCTCCATTTCTTGTTTTTGTCAGGTTTGTTGAAAATCAGATGCTTGTAGATGTGTGGCGTTATTTCTCAGGCCTCTGTTCTGTTCCATTGGTCTGTATATCTGTTTTGGTACCAGTGCCATGCTGCTTTGGTTACTGTAGTCTTGTAGTATATTTTGAAGTCAGGTAGCGTGATGCCTCCAGGTTTGTTCTTTTTGCTTAGTATTGTCTTGGCTATATGTGCTCTTTTTTGGTTCCATATGAAATTAAAAGTAGTTTTTTCTTATTCTGTGAAGATATTCAATGGTACTAGCAAAACTAAGCTTCATAAGCAAAGGAGAAATGAAATCCTTTACAGACAAGCAAATGATGAGAGATTTTGTCACCAACAGGTCTTCCTTACAAGAACTCCTGAAGGAAGTATTAAATATGGAAAGGAAAAACTGGTACCAACCACTGCAAAAACATACCAACTTGTGAAGACCCACAACACTATGAAGAAACTGCATCAACTAATGGACAAAATAAAGAGCTAGCATCAAAAAGACAGGATCAAATTCACACATAACAATATTAATCTTAAATGTAAATGGGCTAATGCCCCAATTAAAAGACACAGACAGGCAAATTGGATAAAGAGTCAAGACCCATCAGTGTGCTATATTCAGGAGACCCATCTCCCATGCAAAGACACACAGAGGCTCAAAATTAAGGGATAGAGGAATATTTACCAAGCAAATAGAAAGCAAGAAAAGCAGGGGTTGCAATCCTAGTCTCTGATAAAACAGACTTTAAATAAACAAAGATCAAAAAAGACAAAGAAGGGCATTACATAATGGTAAAGGGACGAATGCAAGAAGAAGAGATAACTATCTTAAATATATCTTGGGCACTCAATACAAGAATACCCAGATTCATTAAGCAAGTTCTTAGAGATGTACAAAGAGACTTAGACTGCCACACAATAATAGTGGGAGACTTTAACACACCACTGTCAATATTAGACAGTTCAACAAGACAGAAAATTAACAAGGATATTCAGGACTTGAACTCAGCTCTGGACAAAGCAGATGTAATAGACACCCACAAAACTCTCCACCTCAAATCAACAGAATATACATTCTTCTCAGCACCACGTCACACTTATTCTAAAATTGACCACATAATTGGAAGTAAAACACTCCTCAGCCAATGTAAAAAATGGAAATCATAACAAACAGTCTCTCAGAACACAGGGACACTGAACAACCTGCTCCTGAATGACTACTGGGTAAATAACGAAATTAAAGCAGAAATGAATAAGTTCTTTGAAACCAATGAGAACAAAGACACAACGTACCAGAAACTCTGGGACGCAGCTAAAGGAATGTTGACAGGGAAATTTATAGCACTAAATGCCCACATGAAGAAGCGGGAGGATCTAAAATCAACACCCTAACATCACAGTTAAAGAACTAGAGAAACAAGAGCAAACAAATTCAAAAGCTAGCAGAAAACAAGAAATAATTAAGATGAGAGCAGAACTGAAGGAGATAGAGACACAAAAAATCCTTCAAAAAAATCAGTGAATCCAGGAGCTGGTTTTTTGAAAAGATTAACAAAATAGATAGACCGCTAGCTATAGTAATAAAGAAGAAAAGAGAGAAAAATCAAATAGATGTAATAAGAAATGATAAAGGGGATATCACCACTGATCCCACAGAAATACAAACTGCCATCAGAGAATACTATAAACACCTCTATGCAAATAAACTAGAAAATCTAGAAGAAATGGATAAATTCCTGGACACATACACCCTCCCATGACTAAACCAGGAAGAAGTCGAATCCCTAAATAGATCAATAACAAGTTCTGAAATTGAGGTAGTAATTAACAGCCTACCAACCAAGAAAAGCCCAGGACCAGACAGATTCACAGCCGATTTCTATCAGAGGTACAAAAAGGAGCTGGTACCATTTCTCCTGAAACTATTCCAAACAACAGGAAAAGAGAGACTCTTCCCTAACTCATTTTATGAGGCCAGCATCATCCTGATACAGAAACCTGGCAGAGATACAACAGTAAAGGAACATTTCAGGCAAATAATGCTGATAAACATCGATGCAAAAACCCTCAATATAATACTGGCAAACTGAATCCAAGAGCACATCAAAAGCTTATCCACCATGATCAAGTCAGCTTCATCCATGGGATGCAAGGCTGGCTCAACATATACAAATTAATGAACATAATCCATCATATAAACAGAACCAATGACAAAAGCCACATGATTATCGCAAGAGATGCAGAAAAGGCCTCCGATAAAATTCAACACATCTTCATGCTAAAAACTCTCAATAAACTAGATATTGATGGAACGTATCTCAAAATAATAAGAGCTATTTAAGACAAACCCACAGCCAATATCACACTGAATGGACAAAAGCTGGAAGCATTCTCTTTGAAAACCGGCACAAGACAAGGATGCCCTCTCTCACCACTCCTATTCAACATAGTGTTGGAAGTTCTGGCCAGGGCAATCAGGCAAGAGAAAGAAAGAAGGGTATTTAAATAGGAACAGAGGAAGTCAAATTGTCTCTGTTTGCAGATGACATGATTGTATATCTAGAAAACCCCATCGTCTCAGCCCAAAATCTCCTTTAGCTGATAAGCAAGTTCAGCAAAGTCTCAGGATACAAAATCAATGTACAAAAATCACAGGCATTCCTATACACCAATAATAGACAGATAGCCAAATTGTGAGTGAACTCCCATTCACAATTGCTACCAAGAGAATAAAATACCCAGGAATACAACTTACAAGGGATGTGAAGGACCTCTTCGTGGAGAATGACGAACTACTGCTCAAGGAAATAGGAGAGGACACAAACAAATGAAAAAATTTTCATGGTTATGGATAGGAAGAATCAATGTCGTGAAAATGGCCATACTGCTCAAAGTAATTTATATATTCAACAACAATATTCTTTAAGTGATTTTTGTATGATAGGGAGACTGCCTTCCATCAATTGATGCACTTATAATTTAATATTTAAAAGTTCCAGGAAATTTTTGGCAGTGAGAAACAAAACAAAATGAAAGTGCTTGAAACCTGGGGACCTGGAGCCATCACTTACAATATAGACAGGCGCCAACAGCCTTTTTTGCTTGTGGAAGTACCTCAGTCTTTTTATACTGATATGAGTATTGAAAATGCTCAGTAAATATTTGTTGAATAATAAGTGATCAGTCATTTATATCAGAAGTATACTTAAACTAGAAAGAGGAAACATAGAATCAGGCCTGAAACTGAAGCTGGAAGTCGATGCAGAGTGAACGGATATATCAGAATCCAAAGTCTCAGCAATGTGATAGGTGCAAAGATAACTATCCGTTCTGGAAGACACAACGCAAGCAAATTAAGCCTTGAAAGGCAAATGACTTGACATCACATGTTAGGCAACCTTTTCTATTGTTCTTCGCCTCAGAGAATAAATGTTTGAGTAAGACTTTCCAAACTGCTTGCATGTTTTGTCTGTAAGTAGAAAGCATTTGCTGTACTTTAAAGGTACATTTCTAGTGTTTAGGGAGAATGTAAATTCAACCTCTCTGGCACTCTATAGTTACCTTACTGTAATGTAATTTTCTACAACACCCTGAAAGCTTTTCCTTCGATACTTCTTGAAACTCCTACTGTTCAAGTATAGTTCTGTAGAAATTGCTTCATTTCTCATCCTTCATTGAAGGACGAAATTTGTAGTGCCCACAGTTGGCTGTTTATGTCTCCAAACACCAGACTGGCTTGATGGCCAAGACCAAACATCAATCCTCTTTGGCTTTCATATCTGGAAAAACATTCCTGATCGCTGGTTCCTCCACCTAGTGACCAGTTTCACCTTCCGTTCCCAAATATTTCAATTCACTAAAAACTCTTAGTCATAAATAAAAACTCCTAACTGATCACCTGAAAACTCCTTTTTTTGTAAGTCCACAGTCAATCTGTCAATGATTTCTATTAATTCTAAGTAAGATCAATCAGTTTTCTTTAAAAAAAAATTAATTCCTAATGCACAAGGGCAAAGTGTAATAATGCGGTTCTTGATAGAACACATTTGTTTCCTTATAGGTCTCTGTTCTTCTGTGTATGACCTCTTCCAGTATATATTTTTTGTTGGTCAGATAAACTCATCATTTTAAAATGCGAATCAGATAGCTCCACTCCATGCTTAAAAACAAGGGGTGCTTGCTTTTTAACATGTACCATAAAAGGCCCTGTTTGATCCTATCCCATCAAGTTTCTCTAGATTTTATACCAGCTATTCCTTTGCCTTTTATCATTTTTTTTCTTACATCTACCTGACTAACTTGATGGGTAGATCACTTCTAAGAAAGTATTTTCCTGATTATTCTCTCAAAATTATCATCCGCTGACCTCCTGCCTTCACTTTATAGTCTCTCTCACAGAAGCCATCTCTTTTGTGTCATGAAAATTATCACCATTTGAATTTGGTATTGATCAATATGCTTATTTTTAATGACTTTTTCTGGAGTAAACTACAAGCTTAATGAGGGCAAAAATTATTTCTTACTTGTTTATTCCTACTTACCCAGAGTCTGAAACAATAATTTGCACAGGGATAATGTCCACAAAATGTAAATTAGTGAAATAATGATTCCTTTTTGTTAACACTTTTAGGAAGAAAGGGACAGTTATTAAAGGTATACTACAAAGCATCGCCAAACATTATTATACATTATGGCTTAAGCTCTGTTGTGAGTATGTAGATGTTAGTTAATTTTTACCTGACATAAATGTTTGTATGCCCAAATATTATATTAAATGTAGGGAAAAATAATTTTATCTACCTGAATTTGCTAAACATACCCATCATTTTCTATGCATGCTCTCTCAGTGTGATGAACTGGGTCATGATGTAAAGAAGTCAAAGTAATGGTATTTCTTTAATAAATGCAAATATGTATATTTCTTCATTGTAATATACAGTGGGAATAATTATCAGTTCAGAATTACATAGAGAAACTGAGTTGTAAGCACAGTGAGGACAGTTATCATGTCTTATTTAATTTTCGTAATGTGTATTATCTATACAATATATCAACACTCAATAAGTGTTTGGTAAATCAATAGATGGATGGATGAATCAAAGAACAGATAGATGAATAGATGGAGAGATAATCACATTTCATATGTAGAAATTTAAGACAAGGGTTACAGATTATGCATTAAATGGTTTCACAATTTTATCCTCTGAAAGTATTGTGATGAATTAACTTTTAGAAACCTGCAACTCATGAATGTTTTTCATTATTTTCCTGTACACATCTTTTGAAAATGCAAATCTTTACATGTGACCAAAGTATCCTAAATTTAAAAGTATTCGTTATTGTATTTACTTCAATATACATTTTTATTTGTTCATTTTACATTACTGTTTTGTTTAAAATATTATCTAAGGTTACAAAGTATAAAATAAGCTCTTGGTGCTTCTGCACAGCAAAAGAAACTACTAACTTATTGAATAGTAAGTGATCATCAGAGTGAACAGGAAACCTACAGAGTGGGAGAAAATTTTTGCAATCTACCCATCTGACAAAGGGCTAATATCCAGAATCTACAAAGAACTTAAACAAATTTACAAGAAAAAAATCAAACAACCCCATCAAAAAGTGGACAAAGGGTATGAACAGACACTTCTCAAAAGAAGACATTTATGCAGCCAACAGACATGAAAAAATGCTCATCATCACTGGCCATCAGAGAAATGCAAATCAAAACTACAATGAGATACCATGTCACACCAGTTAGAATGGCAATCATTAAAAAGTCAGGAAACAACAGGTGCTGGAGAGGATGTGGAGAAATAGGAACACTTTTACACTGTTGATGGGACTGTAAACTAGTTCAACCATTGTGGAAGACAGCATGGTGATTTGTCAAGGATCTAGAACTAGAAATACCATTTGACCCAGCCATCCCATTATTGGGCATATACCCAAAGGATTATAAATCATGCTGCTATAAAGACAGATGCACATAGATGTTTATTGTGGCACTATTCACAATAGCAAAGACTTGGAACCAACCCAAATGTCAACAATGATAGACTGGATTAAGAAAATGTGGCATATATACACCATGGAATACTATGCAGCCATAAAAAAGGATGAGTTCATGTCCTTTGCAGGGACCTGGATGAAGCTCGAAGCCATCATTCTCAGCAAACTAACACAGGAACAGAAAACCAAACACCACGTGTTTTCACTTATAGGTGGGAATTGAACGGTGAGAATACTTGGACACAGGGTGGGGAATATCACACACTGGGCCCTGTCGTGGGGTCGGGGGAGGGAGGAGGGATAGCATTAGGAGATATACCTAATGTAAATGATGAGTTAACAGGTGCAACACACCAACATGACACATGTATGCATATGTAACAAACCTGCACATTGTGCACATGTAACCTAGAACTTAAAGTATAATTTAAAAAATATAATAATAAGCTCTTGGTGTTGACTTCTTTTTGTTTTCTTTTTTTTTTTTTTTTTTTTTTTGAGACAGAGTCTTGCTCTTATTGCCCAGGCTGCAGTGCAGTGGTGGGATCTTGGCTCACTCAAACTCCACCTTCCAGTTTCAAGCAATTCTCCTGCCTCAGCCTTCTGAGTAGCTGGATTACAGGCGCCTGCCACCCACCCTGCTAATTTTTGTATTTTTAGTAGAGACAAAATTTCATCATGTTGGCCAGGCTGGTCTCAAACTCCTCGTGATCTGCCTGCTTCGGCCTCTCAAAGTGCTGGGATTACAGGTGTGAGCCACAGCGCCTGGCCTTAGTGTTGACTTCTAATAAACAATGGTTTCAGTGACATTCTGTGGCATACCTCTCTATAGAGATCATATAAAACTCAGCTCAGTGGCTCATGCCTATAACCCCAGCACTTTAGGAGGCCAGGCAGGAAGATTGCTTGAAGCCAGGAGTTTGAGACCAGCCTGGGCAACATGATGAGACCTCAAAAAAAAAAAAAAAGTCGATGGGGTGGCACTTGCCTCCTGTAGTTCTAACTACTTGGAAGGCTGAAGCAGGAGGATCACTTGAGCACAGGAACTCAAGGCTGAAATGAGCTATGATCAGGCCACCACACACGAGCCTGGGCAACACAGTAAGACCCTGTCCCTAAAGAATATAATTTAAAATTATACATATATATAATTTAAAATTAATTTAAAATTATGTATATATAATTTTTATTTGTTTTTATTTATATATATATAAAATATTGACAAAGAAGAAGTTTCAAAATTCATCTCAAATTAGTGAATCACTCATTTCCTTGTCAAACTTAAATGACACTAGACAATATAAAATTTAAATAAGTTGGTTAGCCAGGGATAATGTTTGAAGATACTTACTTAATACATTTTCACTGATGACTATAAAATAGTACTTTAAACTCAAATGCTGGCTGCTGATGGAGGGCAAGTCAACTTCAATTGTTCTGCATGTGAAATATATGAAGAAATAATCACAATAAATATATTCACAGAAATAGTAACTGAAGATAGACTAATGAGGTCTGAAAATATAAGCACTGGGGAATAGCAGTACACAAAGAACAGATCAACACGATGTTACAGCGACAAAAGCAACTACAAGAAACAAATCAATACAATATTCAACTTTTAAAACAAGTACAAACCAAAATAGAGGCTTAAGAGACAGACAATCATCGTCAAGCATTCAAGTAGTAAATATTTATGCGTATAATTGAATATATGTGTGTATTTATATAATTATGGGAAATTAGAGAAAGAAATGGAAGCATCAAGTTTCTGAAATATTATTTCACGTTAAAAATTGTTATTTCTCTAGGTAAGATTATGAGTGAAAATTTAATCTTTCTTCGTTCTTATGCATTTTCTTCTTAAGTTTTCAAAAAATAATTATAACATTTGTAATTAGAATATAATTAAAATGTATTATTTAGAAATAGTTGACAAGACAAAAAAATCTTAAGTTTGTGATAATGAATGAAATAAAGCAAATTTAGATATCTAAAAGACTAATAAACCCCCAAAATATTGGTACAAAGCATTTGTTAGTTTGTCATTGGTTATTTCTAGTTAAAATATATAGAATTAATATGCCAATAAATATACATTAAATTTTAAATGGCTTTCATTAATATATTTTTAATTTAGTGATATCATTTATATCAATTCATAAATCAACTTAAATGTTTGTTGGTAGTATTTCCTAGATAGCCAGAGTTCAAAAACTAACAAAATGTTTCCTTTTTTACTTTTTCCCTGTTTTTATCATTTCTCCTTTTTTTACTTATGCACAACATATTATTTTGTTCTTCAAATCCTTCGTATCCTACATTTCCCAAAATCATAAATACATTCAGATAATTTTATAGTATTTATTCAATTTAGTCAGTTCAAAATGTATCTAAATTTTAACTATGTTTCTATACTTATCACTGAGGATACAATGTTTGTGTTTTTAAACAGCTGTAACAAACTTGTAAGGGAAATGAAAGTCTTTTCCAAATTATTCAGTTACTTGTTCAGTACTCTATCACTCATCTAACAATAAATTTACATATCTATCTATGGAGGATATAATCTATCAAAAATGCTTTACCTGTGTTTAGGTCCTGTATAGAAAGTTGAAGATACCATGTTATTTTCATATTTTTTATAAAAAAGACCACTCTGCGTATTTCTTTGTTTTTTTGGGAAATACAATGGAATAATAATAAAGTAGAGAGAAAAATTACCACATAATTTAAGTTTCTATGTGGATCAGAAATTTAAAAACCTCTTATATAATAACATTTTTATGTCTTTTATTCTGTCTACAATGAAATTGTAAGATGAATTATATTGAATTATCTATTTTCAATTTTTTACATCTAGTTTGAAGCCTTTTTATTTATTTATTTTTAGAGAGAGGGTCTTGCTCTGTCACCCAGGCTGGAGTGCAATTGCACAATCTTGGCTCACTGCAGCCTCAAACTCCTGGGCTTAAGGGATCCTCCTGCCTCAGCCTCTCGAGTAGGTAGGACTACAGTCATGTTCTACCATGCTCAGCTAATTTAATTTTTTTTTTCTGTTTGTTTGTTTGTTTTTTCATAGCGACAGGATCTTTCTTTGTTGCCTAGGCTAGTCTCAAATTCCTGGCCTCTAGTAATCCTCCCACCTTGTACTCTCAAACCTGAGGCCTTTTTAGTTCTTTTACGAAGTAATTCATCAATAATTTTAAAAATTGTATCATAAGATAAATTCTTACTCATAACAGAAAGGTATCTGCATATCAATAAGTTACAACTTACGCTTTGTTGCAATTGTAATTCAAAGCAGGTTAATCTTTACCTTGAATTATTATTCCTGGATAAACCATGTGGAATTCTTAATTAATTCTATAATTTGTCTTCTCATCATTTTAGCAGTGTCATTCATAAAGCAAAAGTTTTTACTTTTGGGATTTATTTTTTGTTGTTACTTTTTCTTTTTAGCGATTATACTTTTGGTATTAAGAATAAGAACTGTTCACCTAGTGTGGCTTCCTAAAGGTGATTTGGGTTTTTTTAACCCCTGAAATTTTGTTTTTACATTTTACATTGAAATCTGTGATCTATTTAGGGTTAATGCTAGTATAAGATGTGAGATATAGTTACTTTGTGTATTAGTTTGTTCTCACACTTCTAATAAAGACATAACCAAGACTGGGTAATTTATAAAGGAAAGAGGTTTAATTGACTCACAGTTCCACAGGGCTGAGGAGGCCTCAAGAAACTTAAAAAATTATGTCAGAAGAGGAAGCAAACACGTCCTTCTTCACATAGCAGCAGCAAAGGGAAGTGTAAAGTGAGGTGGGGCGAAAGCCCCTCATAAAACCACCAGGTCTCATGAGAACTCACTCACTGTCATGAACTCACTGTCATGAGAACTGCGTGGAGGTAACTGCCCCCATGATTCAATTACCTCCCACCGAGTCCCTCCCACGACATGTGGGGAATATGGAAACTACAGTTCAAGATGAGATTTGAGTGGAGACACAGGCCAACTATATCACTTTGTTTGTTTTTGCCTGTGGATATCCAAATATTTCCATATGATTTCCTCAAAAGGCTATCTTTCTTCCATTGCATAGAATTCCATTTGCCTCTTTGACAAAAATCAATTAAGAATATTTGTGTGGGTCTATTTCTCTGTTTTCGATTCTGTTCCATTTATCTAAATGTCTATCTGTTGTTTAAGACTTAAAATGAAGGTTAATTATAATGTTTATCTTGAAATCTGGGGAAAACCAGAGGCCCTCTTTTCCAGAGTACAACCCACTGTGGCATTGCACAATATGCATTGTCTTCCTTCTTTGGGCTGTGAATATATGTTACTAACAAACTACTATGAAGCTCATCTGTACAGTGTTGGGTGCTGTGTGTTTGACCTGTAGCATAACTTTATGATAGTAAGCTCAAAAACCTAACCATGGGATAAAGAGGTTGAGATCAAAACACTATATCTCTGACAATACAACACATTTTTTAATTTTGTAGCTATAAAAGTCTTGAAATTGAGTAGACCAATATATCCCACTTTATTATTCTGCTTCAAAATTATTTTAGCTATTCTAGTTCCTTTGTTTTTGCACCTACATTTTAGAATAATATTGTCAATAACTAAGAATTCTTGCTGGAACTTTGATAGACAAATTGTTAAACCCACATACCAGTAGGAGGATAATTGATAGTTTTGCTATATTGAGTCTTCCAATCCATGAACAGGCTATTTATCTCCATTTGGTTAGGTCTTATTTTATTTCTTTCATTACCAACTGCATAGTTTCTGCATATAAGTTCTGTTAATGTATTCTTAGTTTTATACCTAAGTATTTTGTTGCTTTGATCTTTTTTAAGCAGTTTTAAATGATACTGCATTTTTAATTTTAACATCAATGTGCTCATTGCTAGTTATAGAAATGCAATTCATTTTTGTAGGTTGGTCTTGTATTCTGTCACCTTTCCAAATAAACCTGCTAGTTCTAGGAACATTTTTTAAAAAGAGAATTATTGGAATTTTCTAGGTAGAAAATTGTGTCATCTGTAAATAGTTTTTCTTATTTGTTTTTGATTTGTATCCCTTCTATTGGTCTTTCTTGACAGATTTCACTGACTAGAATTACCAGTACTATGTCAAATAAGAGTGACTAGTTTGGACATATTTTTTCACAATCCTGGTAGAATAAAAGCATTCATTTTTTCATGGTTAAGTATATGACTGGTAGGTTTTATTGAGTTTATTTGTTTTGCTTTGTTTTTTGTAAATCCTCTTTATATAGGAAATTCTACTCTATTTCTATTTTTCTGACATTTCTTAACAAAAATTATGAATGAGTGTTGAATTTTGTCAAATGCTTTTTCTATACCAATTGATATAATCTTGAGATTTTTTTTTCTTTCTTATAGTGTTAATATAGTGGGTTACATTTATTGAATTTTGAATATTGATTTAGCCTTCCATGACTGGAATAAACCCCATTTGGTGATGGTATATAATTCATTTTTTTCTTTTTTTTTATAAATTTTAATTTCTTTATTAAAAAAATAGAGATCTCACTAAAATGAGGCCTCACTGTGTTGCCCAGGCTGGTCTCAAATGCCTGAGTTCAAGTGATTTGCCTGCATCGGCTTCTTAAAGTGCTGAGATTACAAGTGTGAGCCACTGCTCCCAGCCTATAACTCTTTGTGTATAATAATTTTGCATCTATATTAATGAAGAACATTGATCTATAGATTTTTTGTTTGTACTCTCTATCCCTTGCTTTAGAAGTAGGGTAATATTAACTTCATAAAATGAGTTTGAATTTGTCCCCCTACTTTTGTTTCTGCATGAAATTGTGTAGAATTAGTTATTCCTTCTTAAAATATTTATATAATGCTTTTCTGAAACTATCTGGGCCTTGGAATTTTTAGTGCAAGGAATTTTTAAATTACAAATTTAATATCTCAAGTAGTTACAGGACTATTAACTTTATCTATTTCATATTGAGTGAATTGTGATAGGGTATGCTTTTTGAAGAACTGGTCCAGTTCATCTTAATTGTCAAATTTATACATCGATTTGTTTGTAGTATTCCCTTATTATTCATCAATGATGGTATGATAGTCCCTGTTTCCTTCCTGATAGTGATAATTTGTTTTGACTTTTTGTCTTTGTCACTCTTGTTAGATATATGTCCGTTGTATTGATTTTCCTCAAGGACCAGCTACTTGTTCGATCATTTTTCTTACTTGCTTTTTTGTTTTTGTTTTTGTTGCATTATTTCTGGTCCTATTATTTTCTTCCTTCTGCTTGACTTGTTTTGATATTCTTCTTGGTTCTTGATGTGGAAATTAGATGATTGTTGAAGACAGTTCCTCCTTTTCTAATGTTAATTCTCTTATATTTCTTTTCAGCACTGATTTAGCTGCCTCCCACATATTTTGATGTATTACATTTTCACTTTTATTTAGTTCAATTAATTTTTAATTTATAGATGTTTCAAAGAAGTGTTTAGTTTCTAAGTGTTTGGAGACTTCTTATCTTTCCATTATTGATGTTTGGATTGATTCAGTTGCATTCATAGATTATATTCTCTATGATATGCTATATCCAGATATGCTTTGTGAGTGTTTGAAAAAAATGTGTCATCTGCTACTGTGGGATTAGGAGTTCTGTAAGTGTAAATTGAACCCTGTTGGTTGATAATTTTATTGATTTTTTTTCTATATTCTTGCTAATTTTCTAATTATTATATCAATTGCTGAGAGAGGGGTGTTGAAATTTCCAACAGTAATTGTGGATTTATCTATTCCTTTTATCAGTGTTTGCTTGATATACTTTACATGTCTGTTGTTTGGTGCATAAACATTAGGACTGAGGTCCTGTGTGTGGAATGACCCTTTTACGACCTTATCTAGTGTCCCTTTTAGACTGGTCATTTTCTATGCTCTGAAATCTACTTTACCTGACATTAATATAGCCTGTTTAGCTTTCTTTTGGTTAATGTAACACATTAATCAAATTAATACATACAAAGTGCAATCAGCCCTCTATCAGTGGTTCTGCATCCATGGATTCAACCAACCTCAGAAAATATTTTAGACAACAATAAAATGGGGCTGGGTGCAGTGGCTCATGCCTGTAATCCCAGCCCTTTGGGTGGCTGAGGCAGGTGAATCACCTGAGGTCAGGAGTTCGAGACCAGGCTGGCCAACATGGTGAAACCCCATCTTTACTAAAAATACAAAAATTAGCTTGGCGTAGTAGCAGGTGGCTGTAATCCCAGCTACTTGGGGGGCTGAGACAGGAGAATAGCTTGAGCCCAGGAGGCAGAGGTGGCAATGAGCAGAAATGGTGCCATTGCACTCCAGTGTGGGCGACAAAGCAAGACTCCATCTCAAAAAAAATAAATAAATAAAGGAAAACAATAAAATGACAATACAACAATAAAATAATACAAATAAAAAACACATTATAATACAAATATGAACTGTCTACCTAGCTTTTCATTGTATTTGGTATTATAAGCAATCTGGTGATGACTTAAAATACATGGAAGAAATTTATGTTGGTTATCTGCAAACACTCTACCACTTTATAAGGAATTTGTGCTTCCAACAGATTTTGGTATCCAGGAAGTCCCAGAACCAATCTCTCATAGGTACCACGAGATAACAGTATATCTCTATATAGGTATTTTAGTGTTTTCTCTAGGTATTAATTTATACATGTGTAACATTGCAGTCTACTCGTGTTGGCATTTTACCAATTTGAATGAAATATAGAGACCTTACACTTTATATCCTATTGTTTTTCTCTATTAAATAATTGTGAAAACTATATTCCACATACATTCAGAAGCACATCAGACAGTGTTATAATGTTTGCTGGAACTGTCAAACATAATTTAGAAGACTGAGAAAAGGAGGAAAATATGATGTCTTCATTTATATTTTTACTCTTTCTCTTTGTTCATTCTTCCTTGTATGTTCCAAGGTCCCTTATAACAGTTACTTTTTCTGTTTAGAGAACTTCCTTTAACCATTCTTTTAAGTAGTTGACTGTTCTTTTCTTTTAGCACTTGAGAAAAACTGTTACGTCACTTCCTTTGGCCTGTTGTTTTCTGATGAGAAATTCACCATAATCTGAACTGTTTTTCCCTATATGTAATTTGTTGCTTTTATCTTACTGTGGTCAAAAGCATTTTTTTTTTCGTCTTTCAAAAGCTTGACTATGTCTTAGCATAGATTTGTTTAGATTTATTGTGGTTTTGATTCACTCAGCTTCTTGACTGTAGTTTTCTTTTACCAAGTTTGGGGGGTTTTCAGCAATAATCTCTTGGAATTTATTTTCAGCTCCCCTGTTCTTTCTCCTTGTTTCTTTAACTCTGATGCCACAAATGTTCAAATTTTTGTTATAATTTCCCCTGTCCCTGAGGGTTTTCTTCAGTCTATTTTATCTCTGTTTTTGATTTGGGGTAATTTGTGGGGAATTTGCACTATTCTGTGTTCCAGGTAACTTTCTTTTGTCTTTTTCATTCTGCTGTTGAGCCATTCCATTGAGTTTTATTGTAGATTAGTTATTACATTTTTTAGAGCTAAAGTTTTTATGTGGTTCTATACCTCTTCCAATTCTTCATTTAAAATCTGTTTTTTTCATATATTTCATTTGTGTTTATAAATATGCTTATTGAAACATTATTGTGACTACTGCTATCTTTGATAACTCTGACATGTCTTTTATTTAGGTGTTGGCAAATAGTCAATGTCTTTTTTCATTCAAGCTGAGATTTTTCTGGATGTTTGTATAGCAAGTAATTTTCAACTGACGGCTGACGTTTTGTCTAATGTGGTATGAGGGTCTGTATCTTCGTTAAACCTACTGCTTTAGCTGACTTTCTCTGACACAGCAATAACAGGGGAAGGGAATACACAGGCTCCTTATTGCTAAGTGGGGGTAGATGTTTACATTCTGCCCTCAGCCTGTGTTGACATCTGAGAAGGATATTTATGACTACTGCTGAGCTACGGTGGGATTTAGGGCTCCCAGTTTGGCCTCCACTGATACACCTTGGTTGGGATGGTTAGAAGTGCCTCTTTACTACACCCCATGTGGCCACTGCAAAGGCTGTAAGAGTTAGGGAGGTTAGTGAAAGACCCGATTTCCCCAGTAGGCCTTTTTGATCTACTCCAGTATTTTGGGAGAGAGGTGCCTCATTATTGTGAAGTGGGATTGGAAATATGAGCCTTTTACCATGTTGTTTCCATTGACCCCATGCAGGACTGGGCCTTTGTTAGTGCCTGACAGGTATGAAAGTCTCAGCTATCTGTTCTGTATTCTAGGGCTTTATCCCAGCAGATGTGTCACTCATTACAAGATTTTTTTGTGTGTGTGGAATATACTTGTAGTAGAGTAGTTGTTTCAAAATATTTTGTCTTGCTAGGATGCTACTATCTTGCTCCATAAGATAGAGATAACTGGCTTTTTAGGGTGGCTTTTTGTTTGTTTTATGTGTGTCGGGGGGTGGAGGGGCTGTTAGGGCCTCTTGGCTTTTCTAGGTTGCCTGATATTTTAGCTCCAAGTCTATGATTAAAAGGCAAAAGCAAACCCAAATATTTCACCATTATTTCATTCCTTGATTTCCAAAGCACCTAGCCAGTTTGCTTTCTTCTCTCCACATTTTAGAGTCTGTTTTATATATAACGCCCAGGGTTTTCCAGTTGTACTTGAAGGAAATAAAAGGTAGAAGATTATTCACTTCGTATTCCCTGAAAAAAGTGAGGCTAAATGTTGCCTTGTTGTTAATCATAAAAAAAAGAAAAAACACTAAAATATATATCAATAAGAAATGAATGAATGAACATTGGTATATGTACACAATGACTTATATTTCTACAGTGATAATAAATGAGCTTCACACATAAAAACACAAATTAATTTATAAAATGTTAATTAGTAACAGGTTGTTTATGCTGTAATGTTTGAATGTTCAAAAATAAGCCAGAAAATCAAATATGTTTGTTTAAAGATACATGCATATTTGGTACCCGTGTATGCAATTACATATGTAGGTAATTCTTATTATGGAAGTAGAAAAATGAAGAGAAAGAAAGATAGTGGAAAAGAGAGAGAATGAGAAAAAGCCTATGAGAAAAATAATTCAGTATGGGCTTTGTCTCTGAGAGGATCAAAAAGACGGAATCCATGAAAAATACAAGGAACTTTAATAGTTCTAGTAATATTTCATTTCTTTAGTTGGGTACTATAATCATAATTTTGTTAATATTACTATTAATTATAACATGCATACGTGCATTATAAATTTATTTTTATATATTACCCATTAAATAATAAAAATAACAACTTCACGTATGACTGGAATTAATTTTATAAACATGGTGTAATGAATTTTGGATTTACAGAATACTTAGAGTATAAACCAATTATAAAATTTTAAAAATATGCAAGAAATATGTCATTAGGAGAAATTTATAGTATAAATATAAGCATGAAGTATAAATGTAATTTAATATGGATAGTTAACACTATATTAAAGATGATTACTAATTATAGACATAAGGAGAGAGGTTATAATTTGGAGATAATTCACAAGGGAATTTCAGTGTTTTGCTGGTGTTTGCAATTACTGAGGTCAATGTTTTTTTCTATTACCTTTGTATATTTCTGTACATCTAAAATATCTAAAAATGCAATCTTTGCTGCAAGTTAAAAAAATAAATTTCTGAATTCACTGCACTGGCAAAATATACTTGTTCTTAGTCACATGGTACCCTGAATATACTTACTTTATGGAAAATGTATCTTACAAAGCTATTCTTCATTTTTTACATGATAATTTATTATGTAACTTGATGTTGAAGAGTTCAGTATAAATTTAGATCCAGCTTAAATACAAGTACTCCAGAAAATACCTTCTAAGTGAATCTATAAAGATAACTTGGTGATGTGTTGGTTTGATTCGCTAGACTTTTCTAATTGTCAGCTCTCACTAAATGTCACTGAAGCAGCTAAGTCTTGAGTCTTGATTTGCAGAATCTTCATTTTGGGAAAAAGAATTATAACCAGCTTTTGGTTTAACAGGTGAAACCTCACAAAAATGTTATTTATATTGATCTCTACTGATTACAATATATTCAGGATCTGTCTTCTACCAAGTTTTATTTTCTCTTGAACGAGATGGAATTTATATTCCTTAAACATCTACCAAATGGTTCCTTTAATAAAAGAAGATTCACAAGGTCATGGACTTCAACTTGATCATTACTAGCTGTATTATTATATTAGCTGTATTATCATACTAACTGTATTATTTTGCAAAACATGCAATGTTTATAAATATCTCAACTTCTCCGATTATCCACATCTTCAAAAAAATTGTTACTATCACAAGATTGTTGTTAAATTTAATTTAGGAAAGGCATGTGAAGTCCTCCTTAATAAATTGTTCCTAAATAACTATTCCTATATATAACTGTTTCTATATATAAATATAAACAATATAAATTTTTCCTATATATAACTGCTATAGTTATATAAAATTGTAATTAAGTTATTCTGACAAATTCTGAAATAAATATATAGGCCTATAGAGTTAAACATTTAGAAAAGTTTTATAACATTAATGTAAAACTTTAAAAATACGTAATTACTTTCATTGTATTTGAATGAGGACTTTATTGATATGAACTTCTCTGTGTTTCTATTTCAAGGCAGAGTACGTGGTTGCCTGCATAACTGTTATGTACTGGTGTTATGTACTGGTGTTAAATAGATTTCTGCGAGGTGTAGTTCTAACTCTAAATATGTATAGCCTATTAAAATTTCTTTTATTTAGTTAGAAAGACATTATGTGTATGTTGATGAAAATTAGGAGAAGGAATCATAATGAGTCACAAATGTACTGAGAAAAGACAGAACAGCATTAAGTCTGCAGTGAAAAGGAGCACATATAGTTATAAGTAACAGAACTAATGTGAGCTTAGTGTCCAGAACAAGATAACTTTCAAATAAATTGTTTGAAAGACAAAAGTAGAATATTAGCTATTTCAGCAGTAAGGCAGAGAAGTACAGGATATCTCTGTGCAGCTCTGGGATTTTATGAAATTCTGGTTATCTGGATCAGCACATAGCGTAAGGTTTCACTTGCATTAAAATGCTGTTTTCTCTCCTCTATTCTATAAAACCATTGGCTTTGAAGACTCTATTTTCAAATCCATTTCTTTCTGTTAAGCTTTCTATTCCATCTGATTTGTTCTTTCAAAGGAATGACTTGCATGTGTCATAGTTATAGGCATTGGACACCAAACAAATGAGATGGGAGCCAAATAATAATTTTTACAGTTTATGGTATTAAGTATGATGTGGCTCATTCCCCAAAAAATAGATGGTTATTATTATTGCTGGTGAAATTATAGCTCCTGTTGGTTAAATTTGTTAATGTAAATTGCACAGAAATATGCAATATAACATAACTTTATTAACTAACCTAAATATACAATATAAACTGGAATATAAAGTCAATAGATGGCATACATTTATTATTAATTCATGTCCTGAACATTGTTTTTACTTTAAGTCTATTTTTCTATAGTTAATAGAGTATAGTAAACCAATTTTGTCTTTGTTATTTGTCAGTAAAATATTTCTACCCTAATACTTTATTTATAAAATAGGGACAATATATTTACCTAACTGAAAGTATTATTTTGAAATTAAATCTGTAAATATGTATAAAATGCTTCAAATATCTTCATTTTTCGATGTATAGGTATTTTTATATTTTAGGTGTGTTTCTTGCTAAATTAATTTAGATGTATTTAAATTTATCTGGCTGATTATTCTAATGCTTTATGGGTATTTCTGTCTTTATTAAATTATTTTGCATTTATTATTAATATTGGTATTTTGATTATTTTTACAATCTTATATTTGCTACTTACCATTTTTTTTTTTTTTACTATTTGAATTCCATGCACCTCGCTGCTCTTCTTTTTTTTTTTTTTTTTTTTTTTGAGATGGAGTTTCACTCTTGTTGCCCAGGCTGGAGTGCAACAACGCAATCTCAGCTCACCACAACTTCCACCTCCTGGGTTCAAGCAATTATCCTGCCTCAGCTTCCCGAGTAGCTGGGATTATAGGCATGTGCCACCATGTCTGGCTAATTTTGTATTTTTAGTAGATATGGGGTTTCTCTATGTTTGTCAAGCTGGTCTCAAACTCCCAATCTCAGGTGATTTGCCTGCCTCGGTCTCCCAAAGTGCTGGGATTTCAGGCGTGAGCCATTGTGCCTGACCGTTTTTGCCTTCTTTAAATGGTCATATTTCTTAATTTCTTTTTTTCTTCTAATGTGACTTTAAAATTGACATTCTATTGTTTAAATTATTTCATTTATTTTTCTCAACTATAGTTGACTTAAGATACGTATTAGTCTGTTCTCACATTTCTATAAAGAAATACCCAAGACTGGGTAATTTATAAAGGAAAAAAGCTTAATTGACTCACAAAAGCAATAAGGCCCTGGGCCTGGCCCAGGAAACCATTTTTTTCTCCTAGGCCTCTGGGCCTGTGTTGGGGGGTGCTGCTGTGAAGACCTCTGACATGCCCTGGAGACATTTTTTCCTATTGTCTTGTCAGTTAACATTTGGCTCTTTGTTACTTATGCAAATTTCTGTAGCTGGCCTGAATTTCTCCCCAGAAAATGGGTTTTTCTTTTCTATTAAATTCCCAGGCTGCAAATATTTCAAACTCTTATTCTCCTCTTCCCTTTGTTTCTTTTGTTTGTTTGTTTGAGATGGGGTCTTGCTCTGTCACCCAAGCTGGAGTGCCATGGCGCAATCTCGGCTTACTGCAACCTCCACCTCCTGCGTTCAAGCAATTCTCCTTCCTCGGCCTCCTGAGCAGCTGTGATTACAAATGTGTGCCACCATGCCCCGTTAATTTTTGTATTTTTAATAGGGACAGGGTTTCACCATGTCGGCCAGGCTGGTTTTGAACCCTGACCTCAGGTGATTCCCCTGCCTTGGCCTCCCAAAATGCCAGGATTACTGGCATGAGCCACCACACCCAGCCTTTGCTTTCCTTTTAAACATATGTTCTAATTTCAAACCATCTCTTTGTGAATGCATAAAATTGAAGACTTTCAAAATCAACCAGGCCACCTCTTTAATGATTTGCTGCTTAGAAATTTCTTCTGCCAGATACCTTAAATCATCTCTCTCAAGTTCAAATTTCCACAGATCTCTAGGGCAGGGGGAAAATGGCACCAGTCTCTTTGCTAAAGTATAGTGAGTCACCTTTATTCCAGTTTCCAACAAGTTTCTCATCCCTTTCTGAGACAACCTGAGCCTGGACTTTATTGTCCATATCACTATCACCATTTTGATCAATGCAATTCAACAAGTCTCTAGGAAGTTTTAAACTTTCCCACATCTTCCTGTCTTCTTCTGAGCCCTCCAAACTGTGTTTCAACCCTTGCCCGTCATACAGTTCCAAAGTCACTTCCACATTTTTGGGTATCTTTACAGCAGTACCCCACTCTCTGCAGTACCAAGCACTGTATTAGTCTGTCCTCAGAATGCAATAAAGAAATACCCAAGACTAGGTAATTTATAGAGGAAAAAATCTTAATGGACTCACAGTTCCACATGGCATGGGGTGAGCCTCAGGAAACTTACAATTGTGACAGAAGGTGAAGGGGAAGCAGGGATGTTCTTCACATGGTGGCAGGAGAGAGAAAAGTGAGGAGTAAAGGGGAAATAACCCCTTATATATCCAGCAGATCTCATGAGAAATCACTCACTATGACTAGAACAACATGGGGGAAAACTCCTCCATGATCCAATCGCCTCCCACCAGGTCTCTCCCTAGACACATGGGGATTATGAGGATTACAACCCAAGATGAGATTTGGGTGGGCATACACCAAACTATATCAAGGTGTTTAAGTATAATTGATTTTTCTATCCCCTTCCAGAGTAGGACAATGTGTTTAGAATGCTTAAACTCTAATATTCACACCTCCAGTGTTACATATTCTATACTACATTAGCTAACATTTAATTTCATCTAAATTTCAAAACAAATCATTTAATATTTATTTTTGTAGTTAATGATAATTTAAATTAAATAGTCAGTTTATATCGGGGGAACCAGCCCCCAATATTTCAACGTAGGTTGTTTTCTATTTTCCCTAAGTGTCAGCCAGTCTGAGAAATAAAGAAAAAGAGTACAAAGAGAGAAATTTTACAGCTGGGCCTCCGGGAGTGACATCACATATCGGCAGGTTCCATGATGCCCCTTGAGCTGCAAAACCAGCAAGTTTTTATTAGGGATTTCAAAAGGGGAGGGGGGTATGAACAGGGAGTAAGTCACAAAGGTCACATGCATCAAAGGGCAATAAAAGATCACAAGGGCAGAAGGGCAGAGAAAGATCACAAGGCCAGGGTGAAATTAGAATTACGGATGAGGTTCCATGTCCTGCTGGGCACGTATTGTCTTGATAAACATCTTAACAGGAAACAGAGTTCGAGAGCAGACAACGGGTTTGACTAGAATTCACCAGGCTGGAATTTCCCAATCCTGGTAAGCCTGAGGGCACTGCAGGAGACCAGGGCATATTTCATCCCTTATCTTCAACTGCATAAGGCAGACACTCCCAGAGTGGTCATCCATAGGCCTGGGAATGCATTCCTTCCCCAGGGTCATTCCTTGCTGGGAAAACAATTCAGCGATATTTCTCCTATTTACTTTCTGCAAGAAGAAAAATATGACTCTATTCTGCCCGACCCCACAGGAAGTCAGACCTTAAGGTTATCTTCCCTTGTTCCCTGAAGATTGCTGTTCTGTTCTTTTTTAGGGTGCCCTGATTTCATATTGTTCACACATTTTACAAACAATTTGTACAGTTAATGCAATCATCACAGGGTCCTGAGGCAACATACATCCTCATCTCATGAAGATGACGGGATTAAGAGATTAAAGTAAAGACAGGCATAGGAAATTATAAGAGTATTGATTGGGGAAGTGATAAATGTCCATGAAATCTTCACAACTTATGTTCAGAGATTTCAGTAAAGACAGATGTAAGAAATTATAAAAGTATTAATTTTGGAAACTGATAAATGTCCATGAAATTTTCACAATTTATGTTCTTCTGCCATAGCTTCAGCCAATCCCTACATTCAGAGTCCCTGACTTCCTGCAACAAGTTTATAAGTAACATGCCTTAACAACTGTGAATTCATTTTATTGTAATATACAGAGTACATTTTCTTTTCTGTTGTAATATATTTTCTCCATGTATTATTTGAAAGCCTCAGAATAATAAAATCCCAGATTTTGAATCTGTTGAAACTATCCTTAGACTCATTCTCAGCCATTCTTATAGATAAACTAGGTTTATTGGTAATTTAGATATATAATATTTTAATCATTAATTCATATTTTTCTCTCTGATATCTCCTAAAATGTTCTCTGTATTTGAGGTTCTGCAGTATCTCTATAAAACATCTAGGTGTAGATTTGTTTTATTGTTTAACTGGTGTGGGCCTCCATGTAATCCTATATTGAGAAGTCTCCTGCTTTTTTTTTTAAATTTCTGCATTGTTTTCTAGTGATTTTAAAAAATATTATTGATTCTTTTAAATTCTCCTTTTTAAAATCAGTCTGAAACATTTGTAAGATAGATATTGTAACAATTCATTCTGTCCCCAATGTTTACTTACCTTTCATTTCTAAACAAAGTACACCTTTTTTGCCTCACTTTTGAAACTCTAGATTTAAAAAAAAAGAACTATCAAGCAAAAATTTAACCCCGACTGAGTAGCTCCAGAGGCTTGAGGTTTAACCATTATGCTCTTGAGAGTAAAATATGAATCTCACATGAATTCTTGGTTAACTCTTGTATTAATTTGCAAAACAGCCTTGCCATTTTTCTAATTTACACAGTGAAAACAATATTCAGAGGGATTATTGAAATTGTTCTAGGTCATATGACTAGTAATTGACTTTTACTCAGGTCTACTTTGAACAATAGCCTGAATTCTTTTTACTACTCCACGTTTTGTGCACTTCATATTCTTTAGGGTCTTACTTTCAATTATAGATGAAAAAGGAAGCACCGTTCCATATTTATGAGAAAGACCTGTGGAGATACGTAAGACTATGAGAATGTGTTTGCATGTTTTAATGCTTTCCATTAGGTGAAAAGAACAGGAGTAAGACCTGTGTCACTCCCAAACCTCTAAAAAGCTGTGACATTTTCTGCCACTTGTAACATGATTATGAAAATTAGGAAAAGAAACATTATTACAATAATGATCTCTACGATTAGAAAAATGATTAATTAATAATAAATTTAATTTAAAAGTGATTATATATTAGAAATGCAGCTTCTAAGTAAGAAAAGTTTTAATTACTAAGTAGTCTGAGATTTAACTTAAGTATGTGATTAAACGCCTGAGTATAAATTCTATGGATGTGACAATCCACCTAAGAAGTTGTAAGAAATAGTGAAATTGAGAAAAACATGATAGAAAGGCAAGCATTCATTATTTTGAAGTTGTGTTAAAAAAGCAGAACAGTATAGATTTACCAGAAAGTTTGTATCCTTTACCATAAATGTATTTACTCAATTTATAATACAACTTTTAGAATACATGAAAATACTAGCTAGTAAGTGGGGCCACTTGTGAAAATATTTGTTGTTAAAAACATACTCCTGATTAAAAAGAAAATACAGAAAACAATAAATGATGTTTTCATTCCATTTAGGCTTTATTCATCATTATTCTATTCTCCTTTAATAACATATAAGATCAGAAATTCACACTAAATTTAACAAGATTTTTTTAATATTAAAAAATCTATAAATATAACTGAAAGGATCTGTATGCCTTTATCATTCTAGAACAAATAGAATACAGCTAGAATTTTATAGTGTCTGAATGTTCTTCTTTGAGTAAAAGTACAATTTAATTATTTATTAAATAAATATATATTAAGTTCTACCTTCATCTCAGTTTTCAAGGTATTGTCAATGTATTTGTTTACAAAATAGGGAAATATAACCGCTTTTAGGATTCTTACATTCAATTGTGTGGAGACAGACAATACAACAATAAACACATACAATTCAAGACTGTGACAGGTGCTGTGAGCAAAAATAAAGCTGAAGGGTCTGTGGTTTTACTTTTTTTATTTTTTATTTTTTTGAGACATAATGTCTCTCTGTTGCCCAGGCTGGAGTGCAGTGGCACAATCTTGACTCACTGCAACCTCCGTCCCCCGCCGGTTCAGGCGATTCTCCTGCCTTGGCCTCCCGAGTAGCTGGGATTACAGCTGCACACCACCATGCCTGGCTAATTGTTGTATTTTTAGTACAGATGGGGTTTCACAATGTTGGCCTGGCTTGTCTCCAACTCCTGACCTCAGATGATCCACCCACCTCGGATTTCCAAAGGGCTGTGGTTTTAAATATTTGGTCAAAGAATGTCTCAGGGAGACATTATTATTTATATACAGTGTAAGAGCCAAGAATACAAGCATCTGAGGCAATATAGGACATAGAGACAAATAAATAGAAAGGCCTCAAAGGAGTTGTGTGCATGAGTGTGTACTCCAAGAATAGCACAGATGACATATGGCTGGAATGGAGTGTCATGATTATATGACAGAAGTAGTGGGTAGCCCAGTATTATGTAAATATCTACCCACTACTTCTATCATACAATCATGACACTCCATTCCAACCATATGTCATCTGTGCTATTCTTGGAGTACACACCCTTATCGCCCTCCCAGGGCATGGGACAGGGTTGTGACTCACTGCTTCACTGCCCTGCTGCTCAAACTCCTAGGGGGAGCATGCAGATGGGCAGGTCATGGGAAGCGTTTTTGGGCTCCGACCCCTCGGCAGCATCTAGGGTTGAGTGTTTACAGCTCCTGAGGCCCCAGTGGGCATGTGTTACAGCGTGTTCTTTCAGCTTTGCTGTCTGCAGCCTACTTGTGTTGGCTCAATAAGACCCTCTGCCTTATCGCAAGGACAGAGGGCTTTCTGTATCCTGGGTTCTTGCCCTAGTATGCTGGAAAAGTCGATCACATGTGGCCCTGGAGTATGGGTGCAAGATTTCATTAGGTAGTGGAGGTGGCTCCCAATGAGATGGCTAGGGAGCCAGAAAGGGGTGGAGTGGGAAGGTGGTCTTTCCCTGGAGTCAGGCCACCTTGTGACCAGACTCTCTTCTGACCGCCTCCAGCTGAATTTCCCTCAGCGTCTGCATAGCTCCGCCGTCAATTGCCTGTTGATGTCTTTCGATGTGTTCTGCTCCTCTCAACGTCCAGCTGGTTTTGTGTGTGCTTGCTACATCTCAGGTTTTTATGGGCACTGGATGGGGGGGTGGGGGGTGGGGGGCCAGAGTGGCCTTGGAAAATGCAGCATTTGGGTGTGAAAACATAAATGCCTGTTCTCACTTAGGTCCGTGGGCACAAGCCCGAGGGTGGATCCCTCGCCAGGGACCCCACCCTTCTCTACCCAGCACTTCCCTGCCCCTTCCTGTATCAGAAGCAGATAGGCCCATTTGGAGGCTCTTTGCAATAATCCGTGTTGTCACGATGCATCCTTAGACTCGGTGGTGATGAAGGTAGTAAAGGAGGTAATAAAATCAACAAGGGTTTCTAATACCATGTATATGTGTTATGACAGAAAGATTTATGAAATGACTCCAAGATTTAATGTATGAGTATATATAAGGATGGAGTTGCCATTTATTTATGAGACTAAAAGCAGTAGAGAAAGAAAGATAGTGGGTAGAGATCAGTCTTTGTTTATATATATTCAATTTGAGAAGTCATGTAGAATTTAAATGGAGATGTTGAATAAATTTTTCATATACCACTTCTAGTTTTAGCTCCTCCTCAGCTTGGAGGCTGTCACTCTAGCCGTACAACAGGAAAAAGCCAAACAAACTGAAAATCAATAATCTTATTGGTTTTATCAGAGAATTGAGATCACAGGGCAAACTGTCACCCCAACATCTGGACAGACAGATGAATCCAGAAAGTTATAGCCAAGATGTGATTACATGGAATGGAAACCAACAAAGCCAAACATTGAAAGAAACATTTAAATGGTGATTTTGATGAATTAATGGAGGCTTGTGTGGCCTATGGTGAGAAAGAGAAATTCGGGGTTAAAATCTTACATGGGTCAACAGAATTTGATGAGTTTACCTCCAGGAACACACAGTTTCTCACTGAAAGAGACAAGAAATATCTCCCAGTGGTTTGGGCAGAGAGAGAAGAAAAGTACCATAATGGTACATGCCCAGAATGTTCTCCATAAAAAAGGCTTACTCTTTAGGGAAAAATGCTTTACCAGAGACTCATTCCACCTGAGGGAAGGGAATTTATTCCACACCAGCTCCCTGTGCCTTTCCTGTCTCACCTGAGGAGAAGGGGAATGCTAAGAAATGGTTATAAAGGTCACAGGCCAGGGACACAGGCCAACTAAAAGACCTAATTATTGAACTACAGAATGTGTCACCTCCCTGATACCTTACCATAATATTAACAGAACTCTAGTATTCAGTATAATGACAGTGGATTACAGCTAAAAGAATTGTAGTGCACAGATTCTATTTAAGGGGGAATGCTTCAGGAAGCCAAAAGAGAACAAAGTGGGGAGGGGACAAGAATACTAGCTCTAGCCCTTAGAGCTATAGCAAAAATTAAACACTTCCCAACTACTAGCCAGATTAACATGAACCTCATATTAAAGGGCCATATACCTCATTTTCTATCATCTGACACATTGTGTCTAGTTTCAACAACAACAAAAATTACGAGGCACAGTTAAATTCAGGAAAATAATTTGTCTGAAGATACAAAAAGCAACCATTAGAACCAGACTCGGATATGAGACAGATTTAGGAATTATCAGACAAGAAATTTACATGGTGGATATACAAGGAAAAATACTTCATTGGAAGTAATACTTTGTCAGTTTATAGGTGGTGTTTAAAAGTCATAAGACTGGTTTAGAACACACTTAGTTAGCAAATGATGGACAAGAGGTGTGAGGATTTAGTGCTGTGACTCTCCAATGCTTAGAAATACTGGAAGAGGTCGGGCACGGTGGCTCACACCTGTAATCCCAGCACTTTGGGAGGCCGAGGCAGGTGGATCACCTGAGGTCAGGAGTTCAAGACCAGCTGGCCAACATGGTGAAACTCTGTCTCTATTAAAAATACAAAAATTAGCTGGGCACGGTGGTGGGCGCCTGAAATCCCAGCTACTCAAGAGGCTGAGACAGGAGAATCGCTTGAACTAGGGAGGCAGAGGTTACAGTGAGCTGAGATCATGCCACTGAACTCCAGCCTGGGTGACAGAGTGAGACTCCATCGCAAAAAAAAAAAAAAAAAATGCTAGAACAACTAGTAAGAAAAGACTACTAGTGATGTAAAAGAAAAATCAGAAAAAAATAGGTTCTGAGATCTAAGTTAAAAAAAGTATTTCAAGTAGGTGAGCATATTCTGCTTTAGTAATTCATGCTGATATATCAGGAAAGAAAAGAAACATCGATAGGATCATTGATTAATTTACAAGAAGATTCAGTAAGTGAGGGTGGTGACAAGCAAACTGAAGTACATAGAAGAAAATAGACAAGAAGAATTAGAAACAGAGAATAAAATGTATTCTGGAATATTTTTTTCCTTGTAAAGAGAAAATTAAAAATAAAGTTTAATAGTTGAGAAAGGTGGACTGAGGAGACTTTATTTTTAATTCTAGAGACATAATAATTTTATGTTTTTGTAAATGAGAAAAGAGAAAGGATGATTAGTAATGCAAGAATGAAAGGAGATCAAGTGCACAGGAAGAAGATTTCACCTTAGAGAGACATAGTTATCACCACATCCATCCAGATATTGTGATAATTCAATATATACATTTTCACTTCTCTGTCTAATCCTTCCTTGAATTTTACATCAGAATATACTTCATCCTTGGTTTCTGTACTGAGTTCAGGTTATATTGTACCAGATTGCAGCTATATATTTTTAGAAGTTAAGATAAGAGAATCTATCTAATTGGGTTGCAGCATCTTCCTATAATAAATACAATACAATTAAACTTGATTACACATCCCAAACAAAAATATATAAACAAAAAATTAAGTGCAGCAAGAAATCACCACCATGAAAATCTTAAACAAAATGTTCAAATTTTAGCTCATATCATCATCTGCAAGTGTGTTTTTTTTTTTTTCTTTTCTCTTGCTCCAGCTCTTACTATTTGTATTAGACCTAGGCCAGGCCTACTGACTAACACCCTTAAATAAGTGTAACATTGCTGTGAAAAGTGAAGAGCAGAATTTACCACGTTCTGTAACAGGCAGAGCAGATAATCACTTACCAGTAATTCAGATATTCACTCCAGATTGCATGCCCTAAAAATTCTTCTCTCTTTTGATCCCACTGGTCTCTAAAGGGTTGTATACGGCAGAGAACCTAAGATTCTGAGTTGTATGGGCAGGTTTCACACTGCAAATAGAGCTCTTCAGGACACTGGATTAGGGTTTGCCTCTGTGGGAAATAAGAGAGGCACCTGGGTGCAGAAACCACTCACACCGTGGTGTAATGTTGTAAATCGACAAACTTGGTCAAGCTCCTTTTTTTTTTTTGAGACGAAGTCTTGCTCTGTCGCCCAGGCTGGAGTGCTGTGGCACGATCTCGGCTCACTGCAACCTTCGCCGTCTGGGTTCAAGCGATTCTCCTGCCGAAGCCTCCCGAGTAGCTGGGATTACAGGCACCCGCCACCATGCCCAACTAATTTTTGTATTTTTAGTAGAGATGGTGTATCACCACCTTGGCCAGGCTGGTCTCAAACTTCTGACCTCATGATCCACCCGCCTTGGCTTCCCAAAGTGCTTCTGTCTCTGGAATGAAGAAAATAGGAGAAAGGAATAGATATTTTTGTAGATATTCTTTAAATGGAAGTATTAAGCACAAAAATGATTTTTTTTGGTCTTTAGATATTCTCGCTCTCTACCATCTTTTCCAAAAAACTCTCTCCCCCTATTTCCATCTGCAGAACATATTTTTATAAAGATGCTTTATGAAAATAATTTTTGAAAATTGGAAATTCAAGCAAAATGAGGAACATCTGCGTTTTATACACTTCCAGAGATTCATGATGCACATAAGAAACACAGAGGCTCTGAGGATTCTTCCTCTGTTGAGCCTAATGTAGTTTTACGTATTTCCCAAATTTGTCTTTTCAAAAGATGTCTTTTTGATATGAAGTTTTAATAAACCATGAAACTATTTTCCAGCTAAAACATTTAGAAAAGTGCTGACTGCTTTTTTTCTAGAATGAGCTGGATAAATTTTGGTAATACTGTGTGTATCTAGAAACTAATAAGAAGAATTTTAGAGATAAGACTATAGAGGAGCTTGCTTTTTGAGCCGGTTAAGAACAGGTTTCTGACTGAAAAAAAAAATTGTGTTGGATATTACTGAAATACATTTTGGAGTTAAAATTAAATCTCTCTTTTAATAAGAAAAGAAAGAGTCAAAAAGGGCATAAATTTGTGACTAAACAAATTGTAAAAGAATCTTGACACTTTGTTAGTTTTTATTCTGTCTTCTGCATGATATATTGCTTGATTCAACTTTGTGGTTCAGAGAGCTATGTATGGCAAGTGATTGAAAGTATTTTCTAAATTTTAAAAATGATAAATGGTTAAGAAACACAACCGAGGGTACCATACTTACACAAACTAGTGATTAGACTATTATGGCTTTCAATCACAGAATGTTTCACATTATCTGCTTTGCCAACTCATTGTGATTTTATGATAACTTGAACGTAAGTAACAATAAAAGGAAACAGTTCTGATTGATGGTGATGGTACTATGAAATTCATTAGGGATTAAAAAGACTTCAAATTGAGAGTTCAATTCAAAATTCAGCCATCAGAGTCAATGCACTCTGTGAACTCATGAAATTACAATAAAATGCATGTGCACTTTTTAGATGAAACTGTTCCTAAAATACATATAAAGATCAATGGATTATATGATTTTTATTCATCAAATAGAGAAGCCATGGCTCTCAAATCCTGTTATGCTGATGCTAGTAAAATTAAGCTTATATTTATGGATTATATATATATATACTTCCTAAATATTAGTCTTCCAGAGAAATAGGATATTATCAAATAAAACTTTAAATTCTGTTTTAGAGCCATGTTCCACACTTAGTGAACAAGTCCTATGACTTTATTTAAAATTAACCAAATGGAAAAAGATACTAGGATATTCTGTCTTTAAAATAAAAATAGCTTGCCTATTTTTACTGACATTAACCAATATATTACTACATTTTTATTCTGAAAAATATTATAAACTCTGTAAAGATAAAAACATATTTAATATTTGTATTTACTATTATGGAACTGTGATAACAAATATAGTTTTATAGCACAAAAGTCATTGCCAGGAATTCATGTTAACAACTTGGAAGAGATTTTTTTTTTCACTCAAAATTCTGAAGTCTCTAAAGAATGACCTTCTGTAAGCCATTTAATTCGTAACAAAGTCCCTGAATAGCAACAAAATCACAAATCATAATAATAAATACAATAAAGCAGTTTTATGTAAGTGCACAAACCTGATAATCTATGCTGATAGGTTAGAAAATAATTACTTGCTTCCCTAAAGAAAGGCAGCTGTAAATTATTCAGGGTTACTCCAGCACTGATGGAAATATTTCCTTTGTTTTGTATTTGTAGCTTAAATAATTCCCTATCAAGAATTAGAAAGTCTTATTATTTCTGTACAGTTATGAATAGACTGGTTATCCTTTAGTTTTCACATCCATATTTATTTTCTTTTAAGGATCTTTTTTATTCTGAATGTTTCTTTTCTTGTTTCCTTAACTTATATTACTTATACACCCCGTTAAGCCTTTCCTTGAATAAAAAGACCAATTTTTGAATAGTGAAAGAATTGGTTGCTTGAGTGTTAGGGAGGCATAAGTATATACATATATGTATGTATATATGCATTATATATACACACACACACATATGTACCTATCTTCCACATCTATGTATCTATGTATCTATTATCTATCTATCTACCTATCTACCTATCTAGCTAGCATCTATCTGTCTAATCTATCATCTATCTGAATTGATGAATATATCCTGGGTTTAATTCAGCTTTATTTTTCATGTACCTGCTGTATCCCATCACTCTGATAGACCTTTTCATATTTCTGTTATCTTATTTATTGTTCCCAGTGTGCGAGTGATCAATTATTATCTCCATGAACTAGTGTGTGTGTGTTTGTGTGTATGTTTGTATGTGTAATGTTTGTGGATTTTTTTTCTATAATGCTACTTGGTTCTTTAGTCTCATGGATACTTATGATAATAAAAGCCAATATTTATTTAGCACTTATTCTATGCCCTCAAAGATTTAAATATTTTATACACATTTTCTCACTTATGCATTTCAACATTGCTCTGAAGTAGATAATATTTATTGTAATTTATAAATCAGAATGTTATTATAAAACTCAAAGTAATAATTAGCTTTTATATTCTTCCGGTTTATGTTCATCTTTATGTCCTGCTACATAAATCCTTTTGTATTGAAAAAAATATTTGACAAATGATAAGAAACAATGATGTCATAAAACCCTGAGTTTGAGTATTGATCTGTTAATTATTAATTCCATGAACATGAAGAAGTGATGATTCTGTCAGAAATTTACTCTACATATCCATGTAATAGGGATAACAACACATACCTTGCAGGTTTGGTTTGAGGACAAATAAAAATGCATGTAAAGCCTATAGCATTCTGTGTAGCAGACTTTAACCATGAATATTACTAGGTAGCAAGGTTATCACTGAGGTAAGCAGAGTTGAATTTTTTTTTTAATTTGTATAAGTTGGAGGCAGATGGAGTCTGGCCACATGAATTGTTTTCTCATTACTCTAAATGGCAGATTGCTTAACTGTCATATGAACATGATAATATCACCTACCCCATATTATTTTAAGAGTTATTTGAGAACACTTAGAGCATCAGGCACATAAGTATTCAATATCTATTAGTTATATGTTCATTAATTATTATTTTTTAATATTTTTTGTTAAGAAACATACTTATTTTGATATATTTAATGCTAGAACTTCTATCTGATAATGTATATACAGTGTTTATTTTTATATTTTCCTAAATGGCAAATGAACATTCAAATCTTTCTGTTTGATCTGTCAGAACATGGTTCTGTTAGTTGGCATTTTCTTTCAAATTTCGCTTGGACTACCTGAATTACATTACTTGTTTCATTCTTTATAATCTAATCAATTCTTTTATTTAATTCTTGTATTGTGACTTGTCAACCCAACTAAGACATAGATAATATGATTAGAGAATCAAAAGAAACCTGATTAACTCCCTCATTTTACCTATGTGTAAACTGAATACATATGTATAGAATAAATGTGTTGCAAAAACTTGTATTGTCAATGAATTATTGAGTTAGATCGAATTCTTGACAGCTCCGTTAGCCAAACAAGATCATTTGCACTGATATTTAAATTAATATAATAATATTACTGAACATCAGTAAAAAGTCCTATAAGTGATAAAATATATAAACTGTTTTGGGACCATTATTTTCTGGCAGTTATTTCTTATATTAACAGATTTACTAGTAAATTGCAACAAAAAATCACTACCTAAAGACAATACCTTTGAGGCTAACGAAGTAAAAAAATGTATTTTTTGTACATTTCAGAAATGTCATGATTTCAGTATCAGCACAGTAATATAATTTTACTGTGTTCTGTCACACCAAAGGGTTTCAAAGGAGATAATGCATGAAGAAACGACATTTTACTTCAGAGTGATAATTATCAGCTATATTCCAGAACAGACAGATCACTGCAAAGCAATAATAGTACCTATTATGATTCAAGAAAACTTTTATGTGAAGTTATTCATATTTGAAGAGTGATTGTATTGATGACAATGATAAAATAATAGCACTTAGTAATAATAGCATGTTCCATTTTTTATTTTCTCCTGAAAGATCCTAAGGTTACATATTAAAAAGTATCTATTTGTGCAATCATGGAAGGCAAGTAAAATATCAAATTATTTTCAGAAAAAGGAAACGGAATCCTTTTAACAGCAAGCCAGTGTGATTTGAAAAATGAAACACAAAATTTGATAGTAATATACAGGAATGACATAGTGAAATTATAAAATTGCATTAAAATGCATACCACAATTTAAATGTAATAACATAAAAACATGTCTAAGAATATGGTCATTAAGAATTCAGGTGATAAACATATACATTTTGACATGTTGAATGTATAAATGTCAATTCTTACGTAATTTTGTATGGTTTAGATTATGTGTGAATATAAAGAAAATAATGTTAAAGTGTATATACAAAACAAGTTCCCTGGAATAAAAAAAAAACATGATCATTAATGGGAATTTATCTTACAGTATATAAGAATGACTTATAAAGCTATTCTGATTACATCAGTAAAGTACTGACATAGGAATAGACAAAAACACAATTAAAACAAAATATCTGAGGCCAGTTAAAAATATAATTCAAACTGAAACTGTAATACATTTGCTTTACAGGATTTTTATTGTCTTCCCTCTATATCTCTACTTTCCTTTTTATGCAACCAATAGTCCACAGTCATTCACTGTGCTTAAATTTTGTATAAGTTTTTAATCCAGGAATTCTCATCCTTGGCAATTTGGGTCAAATAATTGTTGTGAGAGGGAATGTCTTGTTTTCGTTTAGCAGGATCTCTGGCTTCCATAACTAGATATCTATAGCACACCTCACTTACCAGTGTAATGAATAAACATGTTTCCAGACATTGCCAAATGTCACTAGACCTGGTGAGGGAATCATCCCTTATTGAAAACCACTGTCTTATTCCATTATTCAAAATAATGTATTTCATACTGGTTCAAAAAAGTGTCAAATAAATATTTGTTAAAGATGTATCTGATAAAGAGTTTATCTTCCTGGTGTTTAAATATATTCAAATGAATCAAGAAAAGACAAATAGCCAATTGAGTAAAAAAAACATGAACAGATAAATCACTAACAAGAAAAATCCCAAATATTAATACACATAGGAAAAATAACTTCAGTGATAGGTATAAAATGAAAATAAAAAACAATAATATATATTCTTGTTGATCACTTAAATCTAAAAATATTAGGACAATTAGATTCTATTAGGACCACTGCCAATGATAGGAGGTATAGACAAGCTATCATACGTCATTGTTGGTGTTTGCCAAAGATTTTTGGAAAATGATTTTAAGCAATACTACACATAGAAATCTGTCATACAGAAATATTCTCATACTATGTAAAGATATATTGAATGATTTCAAATGCAGGCAGAAAAATGTAAACCACTTGGATGTCCATATATATGGAAATGAATGTACCAAAGTTTTTTAGAGAACTCAAATCTATTTCTTGGTGATAAATTGCTCCAATCACCTTCATCTTTATGTAGGACATCATAGATATTTTCACCTACACTCAACTCTGCCAAGATCAGGGTTCTAAAGCCCTTGGCTCCCACGGTGCTTCTCATAAAGAGAATGTAGCAGAGACTTGTCATTTCCACGAATTCTTCATATAAGACTTTAATTATTCCCTTTTCTAAAGGCTAAATGTTGCCTTTCCTCTTCAGTGCTTTGCAATAGGGCTCTTGGTTACCATTCTTTTAGGATGAGGATGTTGAAGAAATTTAAAACTTGTTTGGCTCCTAGCAACCCAGAAAAATTACATTCCTTGTCAATGACGTCTAAGTTTCATAGTTTTCAGCAATGAATAGAGCCAAACTTACATATGGTACACAGTAAATCCAGCAATTAGGCAATATGGTCTTTTGTCAGCCAATTGGATAAGAAAATGGGATTGATGTCAAGATACATCTCTGTTCATTAAGTTCTGACGATTATAAGATGTTTGTGAAAATAAATATTCAGGCTGATAGGTTTTGTTAGTCTGGCTACCTTCCATAGTAATCAATATTTTGATAGTAGACAAAAAATTGAGATTAGTTCCTGAGGAGTATCTTGATAAATGTTTCTTAAGCATTATTTTTTTATCTATACTTTGTCAATGTATTTTCTTAGTGTTATTAATTCTGTTATTTCTCTATCAATGAGTTGTTATATTATTTTCCTTCTCCCTAGATAGTCATTAAATAGATATTATAAATGAGGGAGCAATTGAAGCAAATAGTCTTATTTAATTTTTTAATGGATGTAGTAGCGTTTCTTTCTATTTCCTGTCTATTGGATTATCCATAATGATACTAGAGCTATTTTGCTGCTGTAGAATCTGTCATTTTATGAAAAGAAGAAAAATAATATTCCTATAATTCTCTCTACCTTCTGCAACCTCCGTGTACACTTTATCATACAAAGGCTATTTCTATTATATTCCTCTTGTATTTACTTTACTTGTAACATCTTCCTTTAAGTTATCTTTTGTACTATGGTCAGCCCAATTTGCCTAAATCATTTGTGTGATTGGGATACATTCTTATTTGGAACACATAGAATACTTCATAGAAGAAAAGTTGATATTTTTAGTCCTGTCTTTAAATGACTCTGTAGATTGGCTCCAGTTTACGTTTTCAGATTAATTGATTTAGTCAATTCATTCAACACATATTTTCTGGTGCTCACAGACATTGATCTTAATTCTATCGAAGTAAGGAGCCGACATTCCTTGAATAGGAATTACAGTTTTGTATAACTATAGGTGGAATATGTCTAGAATACTACTCGTTGTTTTCCTTGCTTAATTTACTATAAAAACCACCTCAAAGATTACTGTCTCTTAATTATTTTCTGATTACCTTAATTTCAGAACATCTCTCCCACCTCCAGACTTTTATAGCAGTCCCCTAGTACCAATTTTATGGCTTGTACTACTTTGCATTTTAATAATTGATATTTATGTCTTAGCTTTCTAGTGTTAGCTACTGATAATCAAGAAGGGTGTTATACATCTGTTTCATATATATCAGATATTCATGAAGCATTTGTTCAAAGAATTAATGAAAAAACCCTTCCTCTTGGTTGATGAAAGCCTAGTCTTTATTACGACTGAGAAGGAAAAACATTGTTTCCTTGGTTTTATATTCCAGTTTTCTGTCATATCTACTTTATTCAGAGTAGCTTTAATAACTTTTATCTTGTTCCATATTTTCCCCTTATATCTTTGAAAAAAGATGTTTCATTATGTTATAATAAGAAACCATAATCATGATGTCTAATATTGTGATGGATTAAGAAGTTTGTATAAGTACTAATAAACAGTTTCTACCACTTTGGTATTCCCTTATGTATTGGGTAAATTTTATTGCATATTGTGTTGAATGCATTATGTATTGAGTGCCTTTGCTTAGAGGGTTTTTTTAATTAATGACTCTTTTTTTCTTCTGTGAAACAGTAGAAAAGTTTATTTTAAAATAAAAAAAAACTTTTTTTTAACTTTTTAACTCAGGTGAAAATTTCTTAAATATATGTGTATGTGGATGTTTATATTACAAATAATTAAGAAGCATGAACTGACATATCTTTATTAGTTTTGAAAAATGCTAAAATAAGATAGACTACTACCATGTAAGGACTAGAACTAAACTAAAGCAAAATTAAATTTTCATGTTACCAAAAACATAATCCCTTAACCTATATGTAAAATTAGATACACCCTTCCTATCAACTAGAAGCAAGGTGTGGAGAAACATTACGACCTGAAAGGAATTCGAGCTTCTTTTAGACATAGTATGTTAAAAATCATAAAGAAGATAAAGAATTATCTGACTTAGTGAAAGCTTGGAGTTTGTTATGTGATGCCTGATAGCATCACAAACAGAAAGGAAGTTTCTAGTTCAAATGAGCAGTTTCGATTTTAAAAATGCTTAAGGCTCAAAAACTCCATATATTCCTGAAATATTTTGCAATGTTATGCTACGTCCTTATAATGATCTTAATTTTAAAAATATCAAAAGAATCAGCATTGCCTACCCTCCCTGGTTAGACTTATTGGCAGTGGCATCAACTTGTCTTCTAATAAGCAAGTTGTTCTCATGATCCCATGTTTTGGCTACAATTACGTGAGTGAGCTTTTCTAAGTACTACAGCAGGCTAACTTTAACTCCTGGCCAATTTTATCAGAAACTCTGGAATAAGTCACAAACATCATCATCATCATTATTTACTTGAATGATTATAATATAGTTGTCAAGGTTGTAGAGCCAAATGACAAATATTCTGAAATAGTGAGACAAATTATTCTTAATCATAAATAGTAAAATATTGTCAGATGGATTTTTACATTTTGCTATTGTTAGTAACCAATAGATTCCCCCTAATGTCAAGTGTCAGTATATAAAACACTCTTCAAATCAAATAAATTCTACATATCAAGTAGAGAAAAATTTTACATATCAAGTAGTGATCAAGAAACATTATAAAATAGCAGAAACTATAGTTTTTCAACAGGTAGTTTTAATTCATGAGTGAGGAAATTCAGACTGATTTCTGGATGTTGCATATTTAATCATGACATCAGCATGGAAGGACATATTAACCCAAAACAAATTTTATTCAGTGCTTAAATAATACATACACACACACACACACACACACACACACACACACACCCTCAAACTCTCTTCTATCTGAGGCTAAGGCTGTGTGTATTAGAAAACCTCCTTTGTATCACAAGCTTAAGTGCATGTATAGAGACTGAAAAGTAAAAAATAAAAGGCAAACTAAGACCAAATAAGGACATAATAACAAAGCATGAAAACAAAACAAACAAAAAACTAGTCAATGTGACAGTGTTATTTTAGATAGAGTGATCAGGTAAGATATTTTTGAATAGTTGTAACCTAAATGATGAGCAGTAATAGTCACTTCAAGCTCTGGGAGAAGTGCTGCCCCAGAAAAAATTTGGCGAAGTCTCTAGCACAAAAATTTGATGTTTTTAAACAATGGAAATAAAGTAAATGTGAGAGGAGAAGAGTAAGACATGGTAAGATCAAACAGTGAAGCAGCAGCCAGTAGAGAAATGGTTTCTCAAACAACTCTATTTTCATACGTATTCTACTTGTAAGGCAGAAAAAATAAATTTGTTACATACTAGAAAGTGACCTCAGACCTCTGTCTTTTAAATGTATATCAATGAGGGTTTTCTTAATCCAATGAAAGTTGTACCAGGAGATAATTATTTTTTCTAGTATTAACTGTTTCCATATAATTCCATATACTTTTCATTATAAATCCATAAACTCATGATTATAAACTGCATTTGAAGACTGTATCTGGTTTTTTGTTTAGTTTACACACAGCTGAATTACATCTTACAAAAAGAATTAAGTACTTGGCAAAATTTAAAATTAGAAGATTCCATATAAATGTATATAGTTTTATTACTTAAATAAAAAGGGGACTATCTGGTGATATGATTAGGCTTTGTGTCCTCACCCAAATATCATCTTGAATTGTAATCCCCATAATCCCCACATGTCAAGAGAGAGACGAGGTGGAGCTAATTGAATCATGGGGTGCAGTGTCGTCCATGCTGTTCTCGTGGTAGTGAGTGAGCTCTCACGAGATTTGATGGTTTTATAAGGAGCTCTTTCCCCTTTGCTCAGCACTTCTCCTTCCTGCCACCTTATGAAGAAGGTGCCTTGCTTCTCCTTTGCATTCTGCAATGATTATAAGTTTCCTGAGGCCTCCCCAGCGATGCTAAACTGTGAATCAATTAAACCTCTTTCCTTTAGAAATTACCCAGTCTCAGGTAGTTCTTTATAGCAGCGTGAAAATGAACTAGTACATCTGGTGACACGGAATCCTTATTTCTTCATTTCTATAAAAACTAAACAAGAAACAGTTTTTGGAACTAAATAGCTGGAATCCCATTGAGCTGGCATTTCAATTTTCCAATTTACCACACTTTTTCATTATTCATGTATATGTATATCCTTCCTGGCTGTTATTGGCACTGATTTTCAGATGCTTTTTTGAAAAATGCCATGAGAAAGACCAGATAACAATATCCCTGAAAAAATATTTAAACTGAAATCATATATATCAAAGAAGCAATCTCAAATAGGCAGATAGATTACTATCATATTTTGCTTAAGCAGTGTACTTTCTTTTCAAGAAGAAGGTTTTGTTCACAGAATTCTATTTTGCATTGTTCCATTTTTGCTTTAGTGCTATTGTAGGTAATATTGCTAGGTACTAATGAGCTTGTCACTATAACTGAATTCAATCAGTCTTTTTATCCCTTGTTCTAAGATTCTATTGTGAAAATCTAGTAAGTTGTGTGATGTCATAGGTGTAACACTTTGTGCAAGTAATAGCCAGGATTTTTCAACACAGGCCATCCATTTCATTAACTATATGGGACAGATAATATAAATAAGGAAGGAAGAATCTTTCTACCATTTTCTCTCTGAACTGGCGTACAACACACTAGACCATGTGTACAGAGTTTCTAGCAGCTAAAATGATTGTGTAACTACGTATTAAAATGATTATCATTCTTGCTGGGAGTGAAATCATTTTTCTTCAGGATAACAGAGATATTTACTGTTGTAAACTTTACTCAGATATAAAACCTTAGGCCCACAGAATCAATTAATTTGCAAAAGAACAAATGTATTTAAAAAGTAGAGACAGGATTTGGATACAAGTGCTTTCTGCTATATCACCCTGTTTGCCAAAAAAGAGCCTCTCCCCCTGAGATCTTATCACTCTTCAAATAGTGATTTCTGTTTCTGTCAGAACAGGCCACATTAAGGAGCTATATCAAACACATCTAAATTTCAGTGGCTTATGATGAATATTTGTTCTCATTTACTGTATATGTCTATAGTGATTTGGCTATGGTTTTATTATTTATTGTGTTTTTCTGAAGGACCCAAGTCAATGCAACAATCTCTCTTTAGAACATTTCTTCTGTTATCAAGGCAGAGCAGAAAGAAAAGAATTCCACCATAAACTGGCTCTTCAGATTTATGTTCAGAAGTGATAAATGAATGTCACATGTCACTGGCCAAAGCAAGTCACTTGATGATGCCTGAGATGAATGATTGGTATGCATTATCATCTCACAGGGAGTGGTGCTGAATATTTTGGAAAACATATATTTTGCCAGACAACCATTAATTTAATTATAACCCCACAAATATTCACCTAAAGATTACATACATTAATGGAGAATAATTGAATCAATGGACATCACATAATGAAATCTGAGAAGACTTTTAGAGTTAGGTCAAAACTTCAGAGTGTAATCAGAACTTAAATATGTAAGTCTTACCAAGTTTGGGGAGAATTCTGACACTAGGAATCTTGATGACCCGGGCATAAAAAGAGAAGAAAAAAAAAAACGCTTGAACATTAAAATGCCTAAAACTTTTAAAATAAGCTTTAAAAATGTTGAGTAAATAACAAAATAGTTTAATGATATAAAATGTATGGGTGCCTCAGGGAAAAATTGGAAAGCAATGTAGTGGGCATATTGCAAAGTTCTTTGGATGCCAACATTTTAGAGAGAACACAAATAAAAAGCTGTTATTCATTAACAAAAGCATCAACACTATCAACATCTACTCTCAAGATGTGTGTTTTTAATATTTAAAAGTGAAAACTTCTTAGTCCTGCAGTTTAGACACAAAGGAAAGTCATTGAACTCAAGTCTCTATGAATGTTCTCTTTTCCAAATGAGATTTTCTATTGCTAATCATTTTGAATGCCTGCCAGAACACTTGGACTCTCGATCGGCAGGACAACACAGATGTCTATGTGCCATTTAACAGCTTTCAGGTGAAATAACTTACCAGGCAAAAAATAGAATTGACATCCAGCATACTGATGAAAAATAATGGACTTTTTATTCATCAAGCAAATAACATTAGAAGCAAGCAGCTTAAAAAAAATTTGCTTGAATATATTACCATGTATCTTGTTAGAAAATTGTAAACTTCCTTTTGAGAAAATTTAGCATTGTTTCTTTCCCTAATCAAAGATGAATTTTTCTAGATTTAGAATGTTTCATGGATTTTATGAGGGATTTCCTGTATTTTGTGCTTTAATCTTTTTTATGACACTTGGAAACCTTGTTTTCATTTTTTTCATTGTGTTTAATAAAACTTAACAGCAAGCAAAGAATCACATTTGAATATCACTGTTGATTGCATTAAAAAAGACAGCATATTCATTTCATCACTCTTTGCACATGTGTAGAGTTCCTCTGTACCAGGTGGGCATAATTAGGTTGGAATGTGGTTTGGCTGACAAATTATTTCCTATTGGCTGCATGATGTGTCTGCTGCATCCCCATGGAAAAGAAAATAAATGGCAATATTATTGAGAAGCTTTTGGAAAATATTTGATAGGCAACCATGGTTAGGTTTATGCAAATATAGCTTTAAAATTCCAACATTCTGAAGCCATATAATCAAGGAGAGCAAAGATTGTTTTAATGAGAAAACTTTCTAAAGTCAGCCAATAAAATTCCATTAAAATAAAAAGATTTGATAAATTTAATCTTGATAGTTGATTTACACAATTGATCTTTTTCATGGCAAGTTTGTATATCATTTACAAAGGAAAGCAGTTACATGTGACATAGTTGATATAAATATTCCATATTAACCCAGCAAATGACCCATTTATTTTATTTACAATGGAAGCAAGAAACATTTGTTTCAACAATGTCTCATGCTATCAAGAAGATGACAAGCCATTAAAAAATTTTATTCAAAAGAATATTAAAGAAAAGAAGCAATACAAAACAAGATATATATATACAAAAAAATATAAAACTCAATGGAAATAAATTTTGGAACTACAAGTGAATTGTTGCTGTGCACACAACCAGAGAATAAAATGAAATGTAAGGTCTATTTCCAAATACTAGCATACACTTAAGCTTATTGAGATGTATTTAGGAAAAGAGTTTTTTCTGCCAGTTTGGTTCCTAGTGAGCTCTTAATAATAATTGTGACTTAAATTTAAGTGGAATGTTGGACTGACTGTAAAGGTTCCCTTTGCTCAAAAATTTTGATGGGTTTTAGAAATGTAAAATATTATAATTCTATGAGTCATTATTAAAGTCAAATCAATATTTTCTTGGTTATATTTTTACTGAAAGTTTTGTATAATATTTTATGTAAGGTAACTTTATAAGCTATACTTATAGCAGGTTAAAAGAAATGAAAAGCAGTGCTAAAAATGTAAAGACATATTACTTAAGTGCCTATATAAGGAATATTCCACATAGCTGTGTTTTATAATATCTTAGTCATGAAATTAATAAATGTCTCTTTTGTTTCATAATATTACTTCTAATTTTTCAAAAGCATGGAGACTGTGGAAAGTGTGATTTTCTAGAAATGGTGAAAATTAATCTTAAATAGTTAATTATAATATATGATGGCAAGTTAGTGCACAAACTGGTTTCCAAACTTAAATCAAATATTTTTCTGGAGTTCTGTAAATTTCAATCCATTTTAGTCATAGATTTTACAACGATAATAACTTTTATATCTTGCCTTACTTTCATACCTATTAAGGGATCTCTTATTTATAGCAAGATCAATGCAATGCAATTGATACTGGTCTTCATTTTGAATTCCTTCCAAATAAGGCCTGAAACCAGGGCTTGGGTGCAGGTAATTCTTTTGGTTGATGATGCCAGGAAGCAGAAGTGAGAAATTAGACAAGAGAAACAGGGCTTAGGGAAAACCAGTAAAGAATATATTGATGAGTGAGTTATTGCTAGAGGTAAATAGACCTGAATCCTGCTAAGAAACTTCTAAAAAGAAACTTCAGTATCATCTCACATAAGGACCCCATGACATTTACTTCCTTCTCACAATGCTATACTCCATCTGCCCACCAGTCTACTGCATTGAGGTGGACCAAGCTTCAGTGGAGACAAAATCTTCAGGCAGAGGAATCAAAAAAGGAGCTTACAGAGTTAGTTAGACATAGACAGCATCTGCTGGAATACACATTGAAGGGACTCGTAAGAATAGTTTAAAGCACTGTTGTTATAAAAGAAAATTTGGTATCATTGTCAGAAAAAAAGAAAAAGAGTGGTTTTCTGCATCTCATGAAAACTATATACATACACATTTATATAATTAATACATTTTAAAATCTAACACCAAACATCTAATTTGTTTCAGAGACCTATAAAATTTACTTTCTCAATATTTCTTGAGTTATTTTCTCTCTCAGCCTTTGACAGCCGCTGAAATTTAGTTTTCTTCATTTTTCATTAGAAAAATTAGAATATCATGTTTACTGCTTGACATTTTCTCCTGCTACCAGTTTTACCTCTCATAACATCATTATGCATTATTCTCTCAAATATTTTTAAAAATATAACTATGAAGATGAAACTTTCCAGATTTAAAACTCTCTTTGGTTCTCCATTCTTCTGAAGATGGCATCACATACATAATTCTTTATTATGTGGCCCATACCTGCTTTTTCAACATATTTATTTTTTTACCACTATGTTTTCATATCTTATTTCAACAGCAAATGTTATTTACTGAATATTGACTTATTTTATATTCAGTTATCTATAAAATTAATATATTTATGCCTTTTCATATGAGATGACTTCTCATATAATATACATTTTTGTGGTAATTTTTTCTCTTTCTTCCTCTCCTTCCTTACCTCTCCTCTCTCTCTCTATTTGTTTTTTAATTTTTGTGGGTAGATATTAGGTGTATATATTTATGGGGTATATGAAATGTTTTGATATAGACATGCAATGTGAAATAAGCACATCTTGAAGAATGGGTATTCGTCCCCTCAAGCATTTATCCATTGAGTTGCAAACAATCCAATTACAACCTTTAAGTTATTTTAAAATGTACAGTTAAGTTGTTATTGACTATAGTCACCCTGTTGTGCTATCAAATAGTTGGTCTTATTCATTCTTCTATTTTTTGTACCCATTAATCATCTCTACCACCCCTCCAGACCCCACTACCCTTCCCAGCCTCTAGTAATCATCCTTCTACCCTCTATGTCCATGAGTTCAATTGTTTCAATTATTAGATCACACAAATAAATGAGAACATGTAATGTTTGTCTTTCTGACTTATTTCACTTAACATGATGACCTCCAGTTCCATCCATGTTGTTGTAAATGACAGGATCACATTATTTTTTAAAGCTGAATAATATACCCTTGTGTATAAATACTACATTGTCTATATCCATTCATTGATGGACACTTAGGTTGCTTCCAAATCTTAGCTATTGTAAACAGTGCTGCAACAAACATAGGAGTGCAGAAATGTCTTTGATATAATGATTTCCTTTATTTTGGGTATATACCCAGCAGTGAGATTGCTGGATCATATGGTAACTCAATTTTTAGTTTTTTGAGGAACCTCCAAAGGGTTCACCATAGTCGTTGTACTAATTTGCATTCCCACCAACAAGGTACTGGGGTTCCCTTTTCTCTACATCCTCATCAGCATTTGTTATTGCCTGTCTTTTGAATGTAAGCTATTTTAACTGGGGTGAGATCATATCTCATTGTAGTTTTGATTTTCATTTCTCTGATGATCAGCAATGCTGAGCACCTTTTTATATGCCTGTTTACCATTTGTATGTCTTCTTTTGAGAAATGTCTCATCAATTCTTGTGCCCATTTCTTTGATTGTTAGATCTTTACCCATAAAGTTGTTTGAGCCTTATATAATCTGGTTATTAATCACTTGTCAGATGAGTAGTTTGGAAATATTTTCTCCCATTCTGTGGGTTGTCTTCACTTTGTTGATTGTATCCTTTACTGTGCGAAAGCTTTTTAGCTTGATGTGATCCCATTTGTCCATGTTTGCTTTGCTCACTTGTACTTGTGCGGTATTGCTCTAGAAATCTTTGCCCAGACCAGTATCTTGGAGAGCTTCTCCAATGTTTTCCTGCAGTACTTTCATAGTTTGAAAGCTTAGACTTAAGTCTTTAATCCATTTTGTTTTAATTTTTGTATATGATGAGAGATAGGGTTCAGTTTAATTCTTCCACATATGGATATCCATTTTTCCCAGCACCATTTGAGGAAGAGACTCTCTTTTCTCCAGTGTATGTTCTTGGCAATTTTTGTCAAAAATGAGTTCACTATAGGTATGTGGATTTGTTTCTGCATTTTCTATTGTGTTATATTGATTTATGTGTCTGTGTTTATGCCAGTAGCATGCTGTTTTTGTTACTATAGTTCTGTAGTATAATTTGAAGTCAGGTAATGTGATTCCTTATTTTGTTCTTTTTAGTTAGGATAGCTTTGGCTATCATGGGTCTTTTGTGGTTGCATATACATTTGGGATTTTTTTTTCTACTTCTGTGAAAAATATCATTGGTATTTTGATAGGGATTGCATTGAATCTGTAGATTGCTTTCAGTAGTTTGGACAGTTTAACAATACTGATTCTTCCAATCAATGGACATGGAAGATTTTTTGTTGTCCTCTTCAATATTTTTCGTCAGTGTTTTATAGTTTTTATTGTAGAAATCTTTCATTTGTTTGGTTAATTTTTAGATATATAATATTATATATGGTTATTATAAAGGGGATTTTTTAATTTCTTTTTCACAATGTTCACTGTTAGAATATAGAAATGCTACTGGTTTTTGTATGTTGATTTTGTATTCTGCAACTTTACTGAATTTATCAGTTCTCAGTTTTCTTGTGAAGTCTTCAGTTTTTCCAAATTAAGATGATAATATCTGCAAACAAGGAAAATCTGACTTATTCCTTTCCAATTAGGATAGACTTTATATCTTTCGCTTGTCTGATTGCTCTAGGTAGGACTTCAGTACTATGTTGAATAACAGTGGCGACAGTGGGCATCCTTGTTGTGTTCCAGATCTTAGAGGAAAAACTTTCAGTTTTTCCCTATTCAGTATGAAACTAGCTGTGGGTCTGCCATATATGGCTTTTATTATGTTGAGGTATGTTCCTTCTATGCCAATTTTCTGAGGGCTTTTATCATGAAGGGATGTTAAATTTTATCAACTGCTTTTTTGACATCAGTTGAAATGATCATATGATTTTTATCCTTCATTCTGTTGATATATCACATTGATTGGATTTGCATATCTCAAACCATCCTTGTATCCCAGGGATAAATTCCACTTTGTCATGACAAATTATCTTTCCAATGTATTGTTGAATTTGGTTTGCTAGTATTTTCTTGAGGATTTTGGCATCAATATTCATCAGAGTTACTGGCCTGCAGTTTTATTTATTTATTTACTTTTTGGATGTGTCTTTGTCTGGTTTTAGTATCAGGATAGTAGTGGCCGTGTAGAGTGAGTTTGGAAATATTCCCTCCTCTTTTATTTTTAAGACTAGTTTGAGTTGTATTGGTATTAATTCTTCTTCAAAAGTTTGGTAGAGTTCAGTAGTAAAGCCATCAGGTCCCAGGCTCTTCTATACTGGCAGACTTTTTATTACAGCTTCAATCCTGTTATGTGTTATTGTTCTGTTCAGATTTTGGATTTCTACCTGGTTCAATGTTGATAGGTGGTGTGTATCTAGGAATTTGTCTATTCTTCCAGATTTTCCAATTTATTGGTATACAGTTGCTCATAGTAGCCACTAATGATATTTTGAATTTCTGCAGTTCAGTTGTAAAGTGTCATTTTTTCATTTCTGATTTTATTTATTTGGATTTTCTCTTTTTTTCTAAGTTAGTATGGCTAAAGATTTGTCAATTTTGTTTAACTTTAAAAACAAAACAACTTTTTCTTTCACTGATCTTTTGTATTGTTTTAATTTCAGTTTGTTTATTTCTGCTCCAATCTTTATTATTTCTTTTATTCTACTAAGTTTGGGCTTGGTTTACTCTTGCTTTTCTAGAACTTTAAGATGCATTATTAGATTGTTTTTTAAAGCTTTTTCTCTTTTTTGATGTAGGCACTTATAGATATAAACTTTCCTCTCAGTGTTGCTTTTGCTGTATACCATACATTTTGGTATATTGTGTTTCCATTTTCATTTGTTTCAAGAAAATTTTCAATTTCCTTCTTAATGTCTTCATTGACCCAATGGTCATTCAGGAGCATATTGTTTAATTTTCATGTATTAGTTAGTATAGTTTCCAAAATTCCTCTTGCTATTTTTTCTAGTTTTATTCCATTGTGTTCATAGAAGAGGTTTAAAACTATTTTAGTTTTTTTTATATGTTTTAAGACTTGTTTTGTGACTCAACATATGGTCTATCCTTGAGAATAATCTATGTGCTAAGGAAAAGAATGTGTATTCTGCAGCTCTTGGATGATATGTTCTGTAAATATCTGTTAGGTCCATGTAGTCTATAGTGCAGATTAAGTCCAATGTTTATTGATTTTCTGTCTGGAAGATCTGTCCAATGATGAAAGTGGGGTGTTGAGGTCTACAGCTACTATTGTATTGAGTCCTGTCTCTCTCTTGAGCTCTAATAATATTTCCTTATTATTGTTTGGGTGCTCCAGTGATGGTTGCACATATATCTAAAATTGTTATATTATTTTGTAAATTTACCCCCTTTATCATTATTTAGTAACCTTCTTTGTCTCTTCTTATGGAAAATCCCATCTTCAGATGTGGGGCATGTGGGACCCAGCATGAACTCCCTCTCTGAAACATTTCCATCATGTATACCCCAGGCAGTTCACTATCCTAGTTTCAGGGCCCACAAGTCTTAGGGGGTGTCTCTCTCTCATGACTAGAATTGCAGGAGTCTGCAGTGGGAATGTGGACTACCAGGCTCTCTCACATATCTTTTCTCTTTGCTAGGGAGCTTTGGGGCTAGCTACCTCACTTTCCCTCTTTAATGCCTGAGGTCTTTTCTGTCACTTCTCTGCTGAATTCTAGTGTTCCTTCCTGAAACTCTATTTGAAGTATAATTATCAACTCACTATTTTTGTTTTTTCTTTGTGGAGCAGATGAATGCCAGATGCCTCTAGTGAGCCACCTTGAATCACTATTCTGAATACATCTTGAGTAAAAAGAGAAAATTGCTCATGTTTCCATGGTATGAGCCTTGTTTGTTCATTGTATCAGATACAAATATATAATTTTCATGCAGTATAAAAAACCTTTATATATTATTATGATCTGTAAAATAATTAATTTCATCAGATTACTGATATTATTTGATCTTGTTTCTTTGTCTTCAGTTATCTGCCACTATTTTCATATTATATAACATTTAAAAGTGTGATAATTCTTGATAATTCAGGTGATAATTCAGGTGATAATTCTTGATAATTCTTGATAAGACTTGATAATTCAGGTTTCATGAGTTTGAATCCTGCCTTCTTGGTTTATTAGATATGTGATTATTAGAAATTTATAAACTTTATCAACATTAATATTATTATATCTAAAATGAAAATCAAAATAATACAAATTCTATTATGAGTTTTGGGGATAATTATTTGACCCAGAAAGTGATATGACTAGCATAATAAACAACTAATGTTACTATTATTGTTTATATTCCATATGTATTATAATCTGAAGGTCCTGCTCTTTGTTAATGCTTTTCTTTGAGCTCCTACCAAAAACAAAATTCAATCATCTCCCCGAAAATAAATTATTGAGCAATTTGCAAAGTCATAAAGACATCAGTGGTCTTATATCCAAAAATTGTGGCAGCAATTGAATACATTGAGTGGCAATTTTGTAGACAACTTAAAAAGGTTCAACAATATAAATGAACACAGTATTTCCCTGCTGACCCAAATTGTATTAGTACTCTATCCTTGTTGATAATCTCCTTAAGGATGTGTCTGATATTCAATGCTGCTAAATGGAATACCTTAAAGTAAAAATACAAGTGTAAAACCTCTATACTAAGATAGACAGTTGAAGATATTATAATGGGATTCTCCAGTCAACAATTTTGACAACCCTGAGGCTGGACCTTACTCTTAGGTTTACCTCCCAGAGATTATCAATGCATTCTTGACCAGAGACAACACATCCAAAGGCAGATTTAAACATATATACTTCTTAAACTTCACTATTTTCTCTACTATGCAGAATTTAATAAGGTTATACAGCTTTGTCTCTGAGTCTGAGCAGTGTAAGAGGGAAACAATCAATGGGGTCTAGGGAATATATACAGTTGGCCCTCTGTATTTGTGGGTCCCACATCCGCAGATTCAACCAACAACAGATGAGAAATATTTACAAATAAAAATAATTTTAAAATACAACAACAAAAAAACAAATTTTAAAAGAAAGTGTAACAACAAGTTCAATAGCATTTACATTGTATTAGGAATTCTAAGTAATCTAGAAATGATTTGAAGTACAGTTGGCCCCCTATATCTGTATTCCGTATCCATGTATTCAACCAACTACAGATTGAAAATATTGGGGGAAAACAATAAAACTAACAATAAAACAATAAAAATAATACAGATAAAAATACAGTATAACCACTATTTAAATAACATTTGCACTGTATTAAGTAATATAAGTAATCTAGAGATGATTTAAAGTATACTGGAGAGTGTGTGTTTGTTATATGTAAGTACTACTCCATTTTATAAAAGGTACTTGAGCATCCCTGAGTATCCTTGTGTGGGGGAAAGCCTGAAACCAATTTCCCATGGTTTTTGAAAGATAACAGTATTTTTAGATCTGCCGTTGTATGTGTTGTAATTGGGTCTTTTGTGCTTTTTAGCCTTACAGCTTCTGTTTTTAAGCCTAAATGTACATATAGTGATTAAAATAATTAATGCTATATAAGTTAGAGAGTTTAAAAATCTAAATATTTTATTTGTTTTTTAATCTGCAACATAAACCTCACCTGAGTTATTCAGAAACATAAATGAATACATTTGACAACATCTCTTCTAATTGTATCTCTTCAATACTTCAAATATTTCATCACAAATGTTTTTTATTCTATACAATTTGTCATATGCTAATTTTCTAAAACTATTAAGAATGCTATCATAACTATAAACAAAATGAATAAAATTATTGAAACGAGTAATTTTTTATGAATAATTAGAAAAAACTTTGAAATAAATACTGTCGATATCTTATGGAAAGCAAAAATCTATTTTAAAGACACAACACAGTCTCAGAAATTCTTTATTCTCTACACATTCATGTGCTGCAGGAAACATTCTCTTTATACTTTCTGTTCTATGAGAGGATCAGTAAGGCTCAAAGGTCATTGCCCTTGATTCCATAATTTATTTTTCATATTATCAGAAGTCAAAGATACATTAAAAAAGTGTTTTACTTACTTAATTGAGTGGTGCAAAACAGATTTATTTCACATTGGTAATTTTAATGTACCACTCTTAGAGAGTCACATTTTTCATATAGAGATACTTTCATGCAAATATTTTAAGCATAAGAGTAGCAAGTTTTATTTAAAAAAATACACTATCTCTATATGTAGATATTTCCAAAGTCTGATAACAAGTGGTACATATCAAGAGAAATTTCAACAAAATATATAAAATTATGCTAATAACCAGTAGAAGTTTATATTATGACATCAGTGAGCATAATACTTTTATACTGAGGGAGATAGTTAAAATTAACACATAAAAAGTATCATTTTCTGAATGTCAAAAAACAATTGCAATCAAATAAATATTATACAAAACAATTTTATAAAAATGTAACATGTAACCTTGCTTAAAAGTATAGCATTTACCTAATTAACCTAGTCTAAAAATACAGTATTTCTTACAAATAAATACATTTTCTTTATAAGTTTCCTTATGTGTGTCTTTATGTTGTTTTCTTGATAAGGTGCAATGGCTAAAAACATTAACTACATTATAAGTATTTTAAAAAGGCATTTTAATAGAAAACACTATTTTCAGTTTAGGAATATTCATGACATATAATCATTTTATATTTTTAAATACTACATATTTTATCTTTACAGGAATTTTTATATTATCTTCTTTATTAATACATAATGTTTGTGTATATTTATGAGGTACATATGGTATTTTGTTACATACATAGAGTGTGTAATGATCAACTCAGGATATCTAGGATATCTGTCACCTTGAACACTTAGCATTTCTACATATTGAGAACATTTCAGGTGCTCTCCTAGCTATTTTGAAATATACAATACCTTGTTGTCAACTATAGTCACCCTACTGTGTTATTGAACATTAGAACTTAATTCTGTTATCTAACTCTGTTTGTACCCATTACATCAATCTTTCTTCATTCACCTCCACTAACACACACATACCCACACCCTTCCCAGACCCTAGTAACTATCATTCTACTCTCTACTCCAGTGATATCCAATCTTTTGGCACCCCTGGGCCACAATGGAAGAAAAAGAATTGTCTTGGGCCAAACATAAAATACACTACTGATAGCAGATGAGCTAAGAAAAAAAAATCACAAGAAACCTTATAACGTTTTGAGAAAGTTTACAAATTTGTCTAGGGCCGCATTCAAAGCCATCCTGGGCTGCCTGAAGCCTGCGGGCCCCATGCAGCCTTCGGGACCCAGGTTAGAGAAGCTTGCTCTGCTCCAGGTATCAACATTGTTTAGCTTCCACATCTGAATAAGAACATGCAATATTTGCCTTTGTGTGCCTGGGTTATTTCACTTAACATAACAACCTCTAGTTTCATGCATGTTGCTGCAAATGACATGTTTTCATTATTTCTATATCCAAATAGTATTCAATTGTATATACATATATCATATTTCTTTATCATTTTGTCCATTGATAACTATTTCAAATAGTATTTAATTATATATACATATACCATATTTCCTTTATCATTTTGTCCATTGGTAACTACATCAATTCCACTAACCCTTTGCTATAATTTTGATGACTGCATAAGTCAAACATTAAAGAACTGGAGGAATGTGCGTGGGAGTACAAGGGCTGCAATGTAAAAACAAATCCATTAAGACCCCACCTGGGTTTTCTCAGACCTTAAAGTCTGACCAAATAATACAAGCTTTCTTAGACATGCACTTTGTACCAGGGCCCACTTAAAATTAAGAAACTTTCTAAGACTCTAGAGAAAGCTTTCCAGACCCCAGATCCCAGTTAAAGATTAGATATAGATTGAATGAAACACTCCTGCTTGTAGGTGCACTCCCACTTGTAGACTTCATGTCTAAAATGTATACAAGCACTAGAACAAAAACTTGTAAATTTTAATTGGTCTGATGAGTTACTCCAACCTTCTAGCTGTAATCAGTTGCTGAAATAAACTCCCTTCTTTTCCAGTCTATCTGAATCATGTTATTGGACCATGAGAGCAAGCAGCTGGATCTCATTCTGTCCAGGTACAAATATACTAAATTAACATAAGTAGCATATCATATGTGTCATATGTGTGCTGAATATGTTATATTTAATAACTAAAAAACCTTAAAACCTTACTTTTTTGGTACTTTTAAATACCAAGAATTAATTAATTAATTAATTAATTTAGCTTGTGTCCATTTCCTCTTACAAGTATATAGGAAACTTTTTACTCTCTGAATCTTTATAAAATTGCAAGTCTTGGTGAACAGTAATTGTCTTCTTGGATAATATTTATGCAAAGAGTGTTTGGAGACATCTATATTCTGGATAAAACTAATTATTTAATACAGTACTTTTTTTAAAGGACATGCTATTTTAACTTCACTTCAGCAAAGTTTATCTGTAGGCACTTATATATGCACTTAAAACAAAATTTAAATAAATGAGCATGATTTTTTTCCTTACTTTAAGTGGACTGGCATCTTTCCCATATGTTTTGCATGTAACAACATTCCCAAAAAGTTAAGTGCATCTAGGATACACCTTATTTAATAACCTTAGCACCAGCTGCTCATATTCACTGCCAGAAATCATGCTTTTTTGTACACAGCCTAAAGGCAAAAAAAAATAAAAAGTGATTTAGAAGCTGCTACTAGGCTGAAAGGTAAATCAGTGTTCCACATAATTCAAAACTTACTTTTTATAAAAAAGCAAATAAAAGCACAAAAGTAATTTTAGCTGAATATTTAAAAAGTAATTCTATATGGTATGACACTTACTACAACAGAAACTTTTGCTTACTTTCATAGGACTCCTGGAAACAGCAGCTCTAACAAAATTGTCTTCAATAAATAAGTTTTTTTGCATCACATTTGTGTATGTCCTGAATGTTCTGAGCCCTTCAGATTTGACTCATATTCATGCTAAAAGAAAAAATGCAAATGAAAATTGTATAGCTAATTATGAGAAAAATAAAGCATCATAAGAAAACCAGTAAACTATATTTTTAACAAACGAAAATGTAGAACATACTTACCTATACTTTTAGTTTAAGGGGAATATTCTTTCATTATATAGGTTTATGAAATACAATATTAAGAATGGTAAAGATTATTATTTTACTGACTTTAACTACAAAAATGCCTTTGAGAAAATGTTTTCTTCCCTGGATCTTGACCTAATTGGATAATTTTATGTGAGCTAATATTTCCGGTCTGATAAGACTTTCAAGGGAGCCAATTATGTGCTTTTATCCCATCAATATTGCAGTATTACAGGTTTTTCTGTGGCCTTTTGTACCATTTTTTTGTTGCTGTTGTAAATATTAAGTTTTGCTCTTTGGGAGAAAACATTTCTTCCTTGACTGTTATTGCTGCTGATAGCTAGAAAGGATTACCAGTAGAACCCCTGCTTTAAAGAAAAAGAAAAAGATTGGGCTATAAATGATTGTTTTTTATTTCAAAATCCATCAAACTGAGTTTAACTAACACTAGAGCATTGCAGATAGCTTACTACAGAAATAGTTTTTTTTAATTTCTTATCACAAATAAAAACGTCTTCAAATCATTACTATAAGTGTTAAATAGAGATGCTAGTTGATAAGGAAACCACTACTAAGCTTGCTCTGGTTTGTATGGTAGTGTGTCTGATGAAAACAGAACAAATAACTATCTGAGAAAATTCTGTCTTCAGGATAATTCTCAGGTACCTTGAGAATACTCAAAGTACCAGCAAAATTGTAAGACTACTGTCCAAAATAAGGTTCAGAATGAGCTTTCTGTGCTCACATTTCATTCTCAATGGGACCTGGCCTCCTGGGGTTGAAATGCAGATCTGGCTTCTATTAAGGATGAGATATGCAAAATCTTTGCATTCATTCAGATTTTTTGCAAATAAAATAATTGGAATTTTGACTAGGCAAAAATAAGAAGTCTCCATGTTTAGGTTATTGGGCATTGTTTCAAAATCTTTAAAAAAAAAATTAAACTTTTTTTTCTCCCATCAAAGGTTTTGGGTTGAGACTTTCATATGCACTTTAAAAATGTTATTTAATAGAGTTGATTTTTTAAAGATGTAAAAAGAAACAATTTTAAGACAAAAAGTGTTTTTTTAATATAAGATTGTAACTACTAGTTTTTGAAGAAAAAAATTATAGCAACAGTTGCAAATTAATTTTTTTATGTAGGAACTTGAACAATGTTTAGAGAAATACAGCAACAAATCTCACATAATTGTTAAGCGTTTCATGAAAGAATCTTGGCCTGACAAATAAATGCATAAAAAGTGATCTTACACTGCAACTGTTTGAATTGTTTTGAAATTGTCACTATATTAGATTTACCGTCTATCATGACTTATGGTGCCTTTCAAAAGAAACCAAAGGATATAATATTGACTAACATAAATCCAAAGTGGAGGTTGTTTTTATACTGTTAAATACAAGGGTTAAAGTGTCCTGGAGACTTTTAAGTACCTAGATTTAACATTTTCATATTCTTGGTAATTATCTAGTAAGATTATAGTTGAGTTTTTAATATTCTTCAAAATATTCATGTACTTTTTTGTTAAATAAATTTGACTTCTTTCTCTATGAATCTCCTTCTTTGGAATATGCACTGCCCAATCCCTGAGGGGAGAGTGACTTCATTCATTTACCAAATCCCTCTGAATTCAGCTTTTGCTCAAGAGCACACAAATGGAGCAATCCATATGCTTTGGGTTGAAATAAAACTGCTAACCTGGAGCATCTTATTAAAGGCTTCTAGGAATATAGAAAATGTATAACATAAAACAGTGTTTATTTCCTTGGTTAGAGACTAATCTTGTTTTTTATTTATTTATTTTTTGTACAGCCTAATGTTAAAAGAGTATGGAATTAGGCTGTCTGGGTACTATCTAAAAGAGACTAATGATTCTATAGTTATGAGAAGTAAATTAACTGTCCTCAATCTCAGTTTCAGTACTTGAAAATGTAAACACTAATCATATATATCTTAAAAGTTTCTATGAAAAATAAGTAAAATATTCAAAACATAGGAATATACACAATGCCTGGAACATTTTATCATTAATGTCATTATCACCACTCTCCTTACTATTATTACATTTTCTTCATACCAGTCATAACTTAAGAGTTTATAATATAGAATTGCCTTTATTAGAATGACTTCATTCAAAATTATATTATTTATATTTCAGTAAAAAATAACTCCATGATAGTGTTTGAAAACATACTCCTGTGTCTGAGATAATTAGGGCCAATAAATACTGGATTACACTAGTCTGATCTCTTGCCTTCAATCAAAAAACATAGGATGGCAGTGAAAATCCCTGAAATTGGTTAAAAATTGGCATGTCAACTACCTAACACTGATGGAAGTTTGTCAAATAGTTTGTATTTTAAAGGAATACATTTTTATATGTTATTTCTGGGTTGTTTGGAATATCTGGTAATAGATAAAGGCTCCCACCTTGAAAAACTAAAAATGCCAGATGGCATTTAGAAATCACCTGTCCGAAAGCAGCAAAGAGTTTCTTAACAAGATCTAGAGGAGGAACATTATGGAGAAGGAAGAAACTCTCAGAAGGAAGATTGCCTTTTGAAGTGACTTTTAATCCCAGGCATTTTTGCCAATTCTGAGCATGGGCAAGTAACAGATTCCTCTGCAGAGCCCAGAACATGGAAGAGGGCTGCTGTGGAGGGAGAAGGACATGTATAGAGCTTTCATGGAGATTTGAATAGCTCAAGTTCATGATTAATTTCCCCTCCAAATGTTCGACATATACTGGAGCTACTTGGGTAGCAGAAAAAAACTGTAGAGAAAGCTTCTGAAAAACAGAACAAAGATTCTGTGGAATAAAATGAAATAACAATGAAAAGTGGAGACTCACCAGATGAAAGGGCCCTTACCGAATACACAAGAATGTCTGTGAAAAACTCGAGAGATCCAGGGAGAACTGGAAGTAGAATTGTTATAGAAAAAAAACCAGGTCATGTCACGTGACCAGGAAAGATAAAGCTCACAGACACACAGAAGGGTGAGGAGTGGAAATTGACAACTCAGCAAAATGAGATGAAGTCCTGCTAACAAGCTCTCTGCCTCACCGATTGAACCTCAGGTTACCACACTGGAACGGGAGAGGCCAGGCTCCTCCCCACTGCAAATGACAGGAACTTCCCCAGTGAACTTCCCCAGGCCCCATCCCATCCTCCCAGTGCATAGGTCGACATTATTCAGAAACAATCAATTGGGAAAGGGTGAGTTTCATATGGGAAGCCAGTTCGGTTTTTCAGCCTTCAGGCTGTTTAGGCTTGAAGGCAGGGTTTTGCCAGGGTACGGTTGGCTGCCTCCCGTCTCTATCATGGTGTGCCTTAACATTGAAACCGCCACTGCAAAAGTATAACTGAAATGATTACTACAGTGAAAGAGATCTGACCTAACTGACTCCATCTTTCTTCTAACCTCCAAGCTGTCTAGTTCATTCCTGGGCATAGGCCAAACTAACTTTGGGAGGAACTTAGTTTATAGTCTACTGTTTGAAACAAAGACAATAACAGCCCTTTCCCAAAACAAACCCCCTTCTTTCCTGGGGACTAGGCTGCCTTTGTAGGACTAACAAATTAGCTACAAGATTAGAAATTATGGTTTAGGGGCCATGCAGCTTCCGAATGCAAGAGTCTGAGCCTCCCCAAATTGCTGTTGGGAATAACATCACTGTTGTAAAGCCTAAGATTAGTGCTTTAGACATTTTGCAAACCATGCATTCTGATGCACCAGCGGACACCACCCAGATTGGAAATCTGGCTCGATCGGTTCTGTGATCTCACTCCCAAACAGAAGTCAGCAAGAAAAACCTCACTTCAACTCCACTATGATTATATCTCCACTCGACCAATCAGCACTCTCCACTTCCCCAGCCCCTCCCTGCCAAATTATCCTTAAAAACTCTGATCAACAAATGCTCAGGGAGACTGATTTGAGTAATAACAAAACTCTGATCTCCCACACAGCCCCACTCCGGGTGAATTACACTTTATTGCAATCCCCCTGTCCTGATAAATCAGCTCTGTCTAGGCAGAGGGCAAAGTGAAACCATTGGGCAGTTACAATGGGGGCAATTATCTAGCTTGTTCTTCCAGCTGAGCTTGCCTGATAGGATGACCGTGATCAGCTATTACTGCGTCAGGTATAAAGCAGGATGAGTTCAGTGGAGCACTACATTTTTTAAAATATGTGATGCTGGGTGCGGTAGCTCGCGCCTGTAATCCCAGCACTTTGGGAGGCTAAGGCGGGTGGATCACCTGAGGTCAGGAGTTCAAGACCAGCCTGGCCAACATAGTGAAACCACATCTCTACTAAAAAATACAAAAATTTGTCAGGTGTGGTGGTGGGTAACTGTAATCCCAGCTACTGGGGGGCTGAGGCAGGAGAATCGCTTGAACCTGGGAGGTGGAGGTTGCAGTGACCCAAGATCATGCCATTGCACTCCAGCCTGGGCAACAGAGCAAGACTCTGTCAAAAAATAATAATAATAATAATAAAAAGAAAAAGAAAAAATATCTGATGGTTGGCAGAAGATAGAAAATTTATATAGATCATATCTCTAATAATTAAGAAAAAAGTAGACCCACAGGTGATCCAAATATTGGAGTTACCTGAAAAAAAATAAATCTCTTAATATTAAGTTTAAGGAAATGGAAACAAAAATAGGAAACTAGAGTAAAAAAGGAAGAATTTTAATGGAAGATTGGAACTTTAAAAAACCATTCAAATAGCATTACTGAGACTAAATGATTGTATAAAAATATAGTATATAAACTGTGGGGGCCATTGACTCTTGGCCCCCTAAAGGTTCACTGAAAATTACTGATGCAAAGCAGATTGACTAATAGGAGGAAGGGCATACCAATTTATTTATTGTGTATATATGGGAGCCTTCAGAGTGAAGACTCCAACCTCCCAACAAAATACAGAACTTATGTAACATCATGAGGTTATAGAAAGAATGTGGGCTCAGAGGATGGCCAAAAACAACTTTTAGTTTCAGGACAGGTTATTGGGAGGGAGAAAGGAAGAGGCCTGACTAGTAAAGTGTCCTTGTTTTGTAGATGAAGCTGCACAGGTACCAGTTTTCAGAGATAATGGAGGGTTCTTTTTTTTTTTCTTTTCAGACTTTTAAAGGTGTCAGATGCTCAGTCTCTCCTAAATCCTGGAAAGGTGCTGATAAGGCAGCACTGATGTCCATGCTTTTATTTTGACCCATATTGCCAGGGTGTTGTGGCTGCCTGCTCCAGGTCTATCTTGTCCCTAGGTAGGGCCCCTCTGGCTAAGGGAAATAGAGCAAAAAGACTTATAGCCAATTAAACATTTTAGGTCAGGCAGAAATGGAAGTGGGCAGGCATTCATAAATCCCTTAAACCTTTTAGACAACATGAGAGTCAAAAAGCAAGTTTACAAAATTGATATCCATAAGCACTACCTGTTGAGCCATCTGCTGTTTAAGTGTCTGTTGACCATCTTTGATATGGAGGGTCTGAACTAATTATACGGTTATGAGTATAGCAGAATACATGACTCTTAGTAGCTACATAAGAAGTTTTCTGATTACATTGAAAAATGTAGATAAAGCCAAGAGTACAGAATCAATTTATACTAAGGAAAATATTGCTTTTTCCATTTTTTTAGACCTTTAATATAAAATATTTCAGCATCAGGCCATAACAGTAGTTAGAATCAGAGGGAAAAAAATTACAGAAGCTGACTGATAAAAAAATTGAAGGACAAAGTTATTATCTTAGGCCTTCTCAAAGACAGAAAAAGCTGAAAGCAGCAAAATTTGAACGTCTGAGATATGAATCTGAGAAGTTGTCAAATAAATAAAACAGTTTATAGAATTAAACATAAAAACATCTTATAATTTTATTAGGAGAAACTCAATACCTTAAGAAAATCTTGTTTTAACATAGGGGAACTATCATTAAAAAGTTATATAAATATATGTGTTTAAAAATTATAGCCAACCTAATTATATACACAAATGTTTACCTTTCTTTCTTTTTTATAACTTTTAAAGTCCACAATTTGAATTAACCTTTAAATAATTTTTAGGCAATTTTTCAATAAAAACATAATTTTATGTCTTTTTATAATTAATTTTATATTAAAAATAATTTTTAACCACTTTTAATGCCTATGAACATAAGATATTCACCTAAGTAAGAACCTTAACATTAAGCAGATGGGCTTTTGCCGATAACTCAGAGGATTTAGCTGTTTTCATTAAACCAATGATCTTAAATTAGTTTTAGTCTTATTTTTGTCATGGGTTTGTAGCTATAATCTTCTTAATCAGCCAGGGTATGGCCCAATGGGCTCTTAGGTAGAATAAAAATTGAGCTGCACATTTTGAAGTTAGGGAACAAAGGAGCACAAATACACAGATCAAAGAAAACAGAGTACTCCCAAACAAATTCCCATAGAGGGAGACTGGAAAGTTAATAAATCTTATCTCAAACCAGTTGGTACTGCAAACAACATATGTTAGGTCCAAATGCCACAAAACCAAAATGCCAGAGACAGAGGATGTTCAGTGTACATACCAGTTTAGCTTAAGCAGTCCTGAAGCCCTTCAGCTTCCCAATCATAGTATTCCTTGCACCAGTGAAGTGTTGCAGGCACCTGATGCCACAATGGAGAAAGAAGGGAGGATACCTGAGATAAAGAATTCTTAGCAGCTCCTGGATGTCTTTAGAATCCCAGCTGTGAGGTCAGCTATCCATGAGCAGCTGGCACTCGTGAGCAGTTGTCACTCTGCCCATAGTGCGTACAGGTAAGTCCTGACGCTGCCTTGGCCAATTACTCCATCTGTTTGAAACCAGAGAGGCTGGATGCCTGAGGCCTATCACCCTGTGCTGAATGCCAGGTAATTGTAACCAAACTCAGGTTCAACTGCTCACTACTTGATGGAAAGAAAGCAGGTTTATTTATGTGCTAGCAACTTTGGAGATGGCCAGACTGAAATCTCAAAAAGCCATCTCAGAGTCTCAGGCTGGCTAAAGGGATTTTAAGGGGAAATGTGGCATGGAAACTATGTGCAGAAGTGGTGTGGATTGCAGGTCGGCTTGTTGTTTTCCGTTGACTACCCTGAGTAATGGACCATTTGCTGACCTAGTTGGCAGCATCTCAGTGGGGGTCTGGTTATGAATTAACTGTTCACCAGTTTCTTCTCAGAAGGGAGAAAATTGCAACTGTGATCTTCACTTAATGCTTGGACTGTTTCGAGATCAGTCTTTGGAACTCTCAAGCAAACAGGTAGTAAATACACGTTGTAGCAAGAAACAAAGTGAGGGAGGGGTTACTTTTAGACTAAGCAAGCAAATTGGCTATACCCTTTATAACTTAATCTAGAAAAACAAAAGAAAAAACAAAATTTTTTATGAAAATAGACACAATGACAGACCACACTAATATTAAACAGAAAGCAAATATTATAAAAAATGTTATACCAATAATTTGACATATTGCCAATATTGTCATACATAAAAACTGGATAAATTTGTGAGGAAAAATTACTAAAACAAACAAACCAAAAAACAGTTAAAAATATTACAGAAAACAAAAATCATCCGGGCGTGGTGGCTCAAGCCTGTAATCCTAGCACTTTGGGAGGCCGAGGCAGTCTGATTGTCTGAGCTCAGGAGTTTGAGATCAGCCTGGGCAACATGGTGAAACCCCGTCTCTACTAAAATCCAAAAAAAAAAAAAAAAAAAAAAGCTGGGCATGGCGACATGCGCCGGTAGTCATAGCTACACTCAGAGGCTGAGGCAGGAGAATTGCTTGAACCCAGGAGGCAGAGGTTGCAGTGAGCCAAGATCGTGCCACTGCACTCTAGTTTGGCGACAGAGTGAGACTCTGTCTCAAAAAAAAAAAAAAAAAAAAGAAAAGAAAAATCAATGTGTAATATAAAATGTTCTCACAAAGAAAACCAAAAGCCCATGTATATTCACTGTTGAATGCTTTCATATTTTAAAATATATATAATTAAGTATAAACTTATATAAACTGTTTAATAGAATAGAAAATAGAGAATGGTTTGCAACTTACTTTCGGAAGCCAGGATAACATTTCTATAAACAATAGACAGGGATATTATGAGAAAATCAATTATCACCCAACTCTTTGATAAACATAAATGACAATTTAAAAAACAGTGAATCAAATGCACTGATGTATAAAAAAGAATAATGCATTATGAACAAATAGAATATATTCCAGGAATGCTTATATAATTTATCACTATAAAAAAAAAAGAGAAAAAAGTAGCTCCTGGCAGAAACTATTCTGGCTTGGTCTATCAATGAGGCCTTGCTTGGTGTTGTTAGAAGCTGGCCTGGTAGACACAGTTACGCTTTTGTGATCTCTTCTTTAACATAAAAATTTCACAGAATACTAACATCAGACGAGACAACTCTGTGACCATGAAGGACCAAGAAAAATAAGACCGTTTACAATCACTTATGAATACAGACAAAATCATGAACATTTGCCCAAATCCCAAAAATGACCCCCCATTTCTGTATGTTGGTTAATATGAATGACAGCTGCCACTTTCTCAATCACAACTTTACCCTTAGTTCATTTTCTTAGATGTTCTGTTATCACAATTCTCAGGTTACTAAAAACCCTAAGTAAGTCATTGTCATATAAAGGTCGTTGTTATGTTTATCACAATCTACGATTATCTGTTATACAGGGGTAATGTGTCATGAAAACTATATTGTAGTATCTCATTATTAAAAAGTACATCTGCTCCTCCAAGGACACTTTACAGTGCATTTTAATATCTGTAAATAACCATTTTTTTCTTTATAAGGCAGAATAATTTAGTTCATCAAGCTAGTTGGTCTTTAAGATGTTTAACATACTGTCTGGTGTTTTATTTGTTCCTGTTAAAGATGTTGATAAACTTAATCGTTTTGGTGTGGATTCTCCAGCTTTAAGATAGCTGTATTAATACTTGTTATCTACCAAGTTACCAGGGATAATGTGAAGAATAATTAAATTAAAAATGTGGTGTTTCTTGCATAAAAATCACTAAATAGTGTAATATTTGGCATCATCGGTATGTTAATGCTAGGAAAAAGCATTCCTTGAAATATTGCTTTAAATGCTTTATCTCAATGTGCCCATTTGTGATTCTGATATGACTTGGACAGCAGGACAGGTAATATAACACACTAAAGTATCTGGAAGTAGACCAAACTGTAAGTGAAGGAAATTGTCTATTCTTATGGTTGAGATTTTATGTTTTTTATATATATACATAAGTGAAGCACTCAAGAGACATTGACACAGTCCTAGGATATTTTAAAAGTATAGATTAATCTATAAAATACCACTTCTGGATTAAAAATTCCAAGCCAAACAAAACTGCACTTTAGATTTCCATTTTAAACCTGCAATAGAAAAGAAGATAGACTTTTAAAATAATGGACACAAATAAAACTGCACTTTTAAGTACCTATCCTCTTAAGCTTACAACACATATCATCATTCACAGGAAGAGAAAAAAGCCATTTTTAACCAACGGTGAGTCACTTACTCAACACTCCCTTTGCTTATAAAAGCCTGTAGATTTAAAACAATAACCATTTTCTCGAAGATTTTGTGTTAACCACAGGATATTATACATCTTTTTTACAAAAAAAGAAGAAAAACAGATAAGATTATAAAAGACTAGATCAAAGAATGTTGAAATTCTAATTATTTTTAATGTAATATTTTTCTTATGTTACACAGATGAGTAAGTGTGAATATATATTTTTAAGCACTACATGCAGAAGAAAATAAAGCACTAAGAGTTTCATATTTTTGCTTTTTCCTCTAAGTTTAAAATGTTTGAGAATAGTCATCAAGACTGCAGGTTGTGTGCCTACGTGTGCATGCACGTGCAATGGTCCCATACACACAAATCTGAATGCATAACCAGAAGTTTAACATCTTGATTAAAGAAATCATTTTAAAATGCTGTAGCAAGATTTACTTGCTTCAGTTTTGCTATTATTTTTCTTTTTTCTTGACAGTTTCTCTCTCACATTTTTTGTTAGTTTTAATAAAGTGTTCTCCTTAGACCTGAAATAAAACAAAAAATTGCAGGCTCAGTAAATGGTCTCAGAGCACACAAAATTTGATCAGTTACTACCTAGTGTCTGTGCTAATAATAAATGCTTCAATGACACTGAAGCTATTCTGCCTGGTTAGTAATTAGTAGGCCCAAAATATGGATTAATTACTTGAATGCAATGATTCTCAAACTTCTTGTGATTATAAGAATTTTTTGAAACACTTTCCAAAATTGCAGGCTCAGTGCTCTCACAATAGACAATAAAATAGACATTGAGGAGCCAAAGTCTGGGAATGACCTAGGAGTGTGATAAAAATGTGACAATCCAGACCTACTAACTGAGATCCTGTGTGTTAATAAGATATCCAAGTAAACCATACACATATTAAAGTTTGAGAAACATTTATCGATCATACTCTTTCACTAATTTTAGATGAATGAAACTTTTTTGATTATTTTATGCCTAAAGTACCTTCATTACCTGTATACTTTATATGAAATAACATAATATAGAATATCTAGTTCGAACTCCTCATCAGGAGACTAAGACCCAGACATGGATTTTGATAAATGGGTCTTGATTTCATCTCCTCCTCTTATTATCTTCAAAGTTGTTTGTCCTTTAAAAAACTCTCTTTCCTAGTATAAATATTCAAGGAAATCCACAATTTTGTATCCATTGCTATTTTCAGCAAACTTCTACTATTTCCTCTATACTCATTCCTTCTGCTATATTTCCTATATAGTTGTTCCTATGATTCCTATTTTTTTCACTCATTGAGACACTGATATTCACTCTGGTAACATATTGAACTCTCTCATTGTTAGCCAATTTAGACCACTCACCATTTAAAATCAGTATCACACATATCAGTCTTTGATTACTAAGGTTATATCATAAGGACAGAAGAACATAATCCTATCAATAGTCATCAAATTAAATCCTGCAAACCTTTCAAAATTATTCAGTTATTATTTTCTCCCTAGTGCATTCTCTAATTATTCAGCCATGAAGGGACTCCTGTCTCCTTCCCAGAATCACCTTTGGCAACACTTGTAGTAGTTGTCTGTTGCTGCTGTAACAAATCAGCTCTACCTCTGCCACTTAAAACAACACAATATTTTTTTTCTCGAAGTACAAGAAGTCAAAAGCCTAAAATCAATGTGCCAGCAGAGCTGCATTTCTTCAAAAGGCTTTATTGGAGAATGTTTCCTTGCCTTCTCCAGCTTCTAGAGGCTGAGATCCCTTTCTCAAATCACTCTAACTTCTTTCTTTTATTGTCACACTGACTGATCTTTCTGTCTTCTCTGTTATAGACCCTTGGGATTATGTTGGCTTTCTCTGGATAATCCAGTATAAACTTCCCAACTCAAAATCCTGAATTTAATCACATTTGCAAAGGTCCTTTTGCCATATATGATAATATGTTTACAGGTCCTGGTGATGAGGATGGGACATCTTTGGGGGGGGCCATTATTCAGTCTACCACAATATTCTATACCTATCATATATCAGAACTAATTGGTGTCTATTAGAAAGGAAGGGAAAGAAAGACTGAAAAGAGAGACATACACAAAGAGAGACATAGTCAGAAAATTAAATCTAATATCAGTAAAGAAAATGTTATTTTAAGTGGGTTGCTTTTGATCCTTTGATAATTAAATGCAATTTAAAGATTTTAGTATTCTGAAGTGTGAATTTCCTGTTAGATTAACATGCTCTAGTTGGAATGAATTATTTTTCTATCTTTTCGTTCCAGAAAAAAAAAAAAAGTAGCAAACCCCCCCTCCTTTTTTTGTTGTTGTTGTTAAACTACACAACGCTGATCCAATATTTCATTGCAAAATGAAACTGTAGTTCTAACCATGGTAATTACTTAAATGTAGGTGATCAAACCTGGCTGATTGCAGTCCACTCCCTTCAATCCACATACGATTGACCACCTCTAGTTCAGTCTCCAGCAAGGCTGCTGGGATGAGGAGGAGCTGGGCAAACACCTGTGGGAGGCTGGCCAAGAAGCTGAAGTTGTGGGGCTCCTTCTGGCTGTAAGGGAGACTCCTTGGGCCTTGAGAATGTTCTGCACAGCCCACAGTGCAGAACAGCACTGGGTGTGAGCGGCCTGCGGGTGGCCCATACTTCTGGGTAGAAAAAAGCATCTGGGGCTCAAATTGTATGAACCCCAATCTATTGGTATCTTTCAATCTAGTTCTGTAGGAAAGCCAGGACAGGTGGCCTAATGTTATGCTGCCTTGTTCTTCCTCAGATTGAAGGATAATACTGATGTCTGTTTATCTACTTATCTATCATATTTACATTGAACATACCTAAGTAGCATTGCAAGAGGTCTGCTTCTAGCCATGCATCTTGAACTTTGTTTTGAAAATCTTTTTTTTTTTTGCTTATTCTCTCTCCATATATAAAGAATGGGCCTCAGTCTAATTTATGATTTTTTCTTATATTCTGAAATTATACACATAGCCTAAGCTCTTATGCTTTGAATATCTAATTATTCAAATGGGATTACTAATCCTTTTCATAGCCTGACTTAGAATATCAAACTGCTTATAGCAGTTAAATCAGGACTATATGCTACCTTGGATACCTTAATGCTGATTCATTGATTCCTTTTAAAAAATATATATCTTCTTCAATTTCTTCTAAACATATTTCTAGAGTGAAGCATTCTAGATCTTGGCAAAAAGAATGATAGAGCAGTATTCTGTTATTCTTCTGTCTATTTGAAATCACATTTTTTTTCATCTTAGGCTATTGCTAAGGCAGGCTGGCTGCCTTCATCTTCCCCAGTATTCTAGGATAACCTCAAAGAAATCACAACAGCTTGTTTTCTACAATTAAAACATTTGGGTTTTGATAGTGTGCATGGTCTACAAAGAAGTGAGAAGTGTAGCTGTTTGTATGGAATCTTATGGTGAACATTGCTGGCTCCAACATATAACTTGATTGGTGCGACATCAAGGTAAATGAATCCTCAAAGAGCTAGCAAATGGATCAAATAAAAGTATGAAGCATAATATAAAGTTTGCTTTCATCTATGTTTGTTTTATTTTGTGTAAAATATTGCTAGAGTATAAAAATGTATATCAGAACACAAGAATCACAAATATTTAGAAAACTGTCAGATAAAAATATAATCAACATTGTCTTTGTGTTTGTGAACTACTTAACAAAAATACAGATAAATTTAGTGTAGCAATTTAATTCTGAAGGATAATAATCTGTTTTATTAATAAATATATATGAATAAGTAAAGTGTATTACATTTTGGACAAAAATAATGTATTTGGCCCATCTCAGAGAAATGGCACTTTGGGTATGTAAATAGATGTGGTGTGGAGAAGAAAGGTGTGGCCCAGAACCTGGTTAAGGCAAAAAGAATATTCAGCTCTTTATGATGCAGTGAGTTAGAAAATGCCTGATTCACAGCTGCTGTGAAACTTCTTACTGCACACTAAAAAGTAATTTTCTAATACTATATTTTTCTGCCCACATCTTCCATCTCGTGGAACTCAAAATAGTTTATTTTGTGAGAGTTCACCTTAACTTCTCAAATTAAATGAAGAGTTTCAGATTTTAGAAATAACAGGAATGGACTTAAAAGTTTGCAAATGTGAAGTAGAAAGTTTTAGATTTCCAACTTTAATATGGTGCATTTAGATAGTACCTGCAGATATGATCAAAATGTCTCCATTAATTTTTAAGAAAGCACTCAGGCGGCCATAATTGTAGACAGATTAGTTAAACACTTTAGGGGTAAGATTCAGATTCTCAGAATACTGTTCTATCTTTGTCAAAAAGTCAAATTTTAAGACAATAGTTTGTAAGGCCTAGAACACCCACAAAAGACAAATAAAAATACGAGTATAAATATATAGTCTATATCACATTTGTTTAATTCACAATTCTGTTGAGAGCACTAAATGTTATTTTAAAAACTTGAATATCCAGAGTAAAGAGAAATTAGTTCTGACATATGAAAAATTTTTAGCAGCTTCTGATGATTACTTTGTACCTTCACTGACAATAAATGCTGCTATGTGCTTTTTGGTTATAATTATTTTGGCATAAACTTTCTTTCTTTGACTCTAATTTATACAGGTAGTGTTTCTGAAATTCTCTGTTTAAATGTCAATCTTGAATTACACGCTCACCGGCTATTACAAGATATGAATAAAGAAACTGAAAAAGTTTTAGATAAGAAACTTATGTATGAGATACTTGTTAGTCCAATGTTAAAAAAATGCACTAGGCCGGGCGCAGTGGCTCAAGCCTGTAATCCCAGCACTTTGGGAGGCCGAGGCAGGTGGATCACGAGGTCAGGAGATCGAGACCATCCTGGCTAACAAGGTGAAACCCCGTCTCTACTAAAAATACAAAAAATTAACCAGGTGTGGTGGTGGGCGCCTGTAGTCCCAGCTACTTGGGAGGCTGAGGCAGGAGAGTGGCATGAAGCCGGAAGGCAGAGCTTGCAGTGAGCCGAGATTTCACCACTGCACTCCAGCCTGGGCGACAGAGCAAGACTCCATCTCAAAGAGAAAAAAAAAAAAAAAAAGCACTAATTACTTTCAACTTTCCACTGACTCTCACAAGTTTAAGGTCACATTTTCATCACAGCAATAGTATTACTAAGTCATTCTTCAAATCATTATCTCACTCTAAGCCTAGATTGATTTATGCATTTTCTATCTGCATAGTCATGCAGTTGTAATCACAGTTGTTATAGTTCTATCTTTATAATTTACTTATATCATTTTTGCTTATAAATAGATTTAAATAATGTGTTTATACTGCATTATGTATGCTGTTTGGTTTCCCTATTCAATTGTGAGCATCTCGAAATCAGAGGCTATTCCATATACATTATTTTATTTTATTATATCTCCTCATCCATAGAACACAACAAAAGTACAACATAAGCAGGATAAATGTGTTAAATTTGATTCACAAATGTTGTAAGAGACATGCTGAACTTTAAAAAATGTATTCAAAGAGAAATACTGAAGATTACATGAGACAAGTATTTACATTTTATGTTTAAATATACCTATAAACTAGTTGAACTCAAATTAACTTTATTTGCTGGGTCCTTTGCTGCCAAGCTTTATAAAAAAGCTGAGCACTCCATTTCATATTTGAAATCTTTTAAAATTTCTATTTTACTTTACCAATTTAAGACTCGATCCATAAATGGTAGTCAAATGTTAATCTTCTTTTGATTTTCCAGAATTAGGATTTTCATGCCTGTTGTCAGTTAAAACTGCTAAAACCTGGAATATAACATGCATTTAGACACAAAATTTAGAAGTCAGGATTCAAACTTAAATGCATTCTTTATCCAAACCCTTCAGAAAAATGTGTGTGTGTGTGTGTGTGTGTGTTGCACAACTCTTACTCAAGTTACCTTACTTTGTTTCCTTATTTTTATACTGTATATTTCTTTTTGATTCACACTCATTTGTTTTCACATTTCATGTTATCCGGACCACATCCAAATTAAAGGATATCACTGTAAAATCTGAAATGAGATCTAAGAAAAACTGTGCTTTTAAATTTCACAAACGTTGTCATTGTTCATAATAGAATAAATTATATTAAAACTCAAACAACAAGCTGAGCACACTGCTTTGGCAGAGTAGTTAACTCAACAATGCACAAATGATGCAAACTTTTGATGACAAGGATCTTTGCTAAAAGATTAAATACAAATGCAGGCATTACTTTGGAGAGCCTTGAGTCTAGTTATTCCATGATAATTAGTTCTTCTCAACTTGCTGAAAGTTATTCCCAGGAAAAAAAAAATAGATTATATATTGAGTTCCCTGGGATGCGTAACTCTTAAGTTAAGCTCAAAAACATATTTTACATTTTTCTATGATGAAAACACTTTTCGTTTCCTTTCATAAGCAGACAAGTAGACACACAGAAATAAATTTACAGCCTTAATCTCTTTGTTCTGTGGATAATATGGTTTCATTTTATATATTATTTGATAGTATTCCTATGGAAAACATTGAAAAATGAGTTGAAGTATTACCTGTATGCTCAACTAACAAAACAGTTAATAAAATTTATAATTCAGACAGAATATATAAAAAAGAATGAATTACCCAATATGGGAATTCCATGTTTTACACTCATTTTTTTCCTCTTTCTCCTTTCCGTTGGGTTTATGTGCCATAAAGGCTAAAATTGACACTTGAGACCATGAGCTGCAGTATTTTGTTCTCTCTTTCCAACACAAAGGAAATCTTGAATAGAAACATTTATTTCTGGTTTGGTAATCTCTCTAATGAAGTTGAAAAATTTAAAAAAAAAAACCCAAAACAAACAAACAAACAAAAAAAACAAACCTTGTTGAGTTTTTACATCCAATGTAAAATCACTAGATTTAAATGGCACTTAAAAAATAATGACTTTTTTTCTGCAACCAAGTTTATAAAAAGGAAATTTTGGCTCATGGAAAAGAGATGAATGAATATAACTAGACTTCTGTTGGAGAGATTTATGGTATATATTTAGCATCTTAGACAATATAATAAATCACTGCCATAGTCAATGTGAAAAAATACATTAGTTGCCATTTGTTTTTCATCAGCCTATCTGGATTCTTTTCAGATGTCATTTTCAAGATTTATATATCAGTGTTATTTTATATAATAAAAAGTCTATTGCTGATTATACAAAAGAACTCTCAAATATAACATTGCCATCCTTTTAATTTTGAAGCTGCTCACATGGATACTACCAGCTTCATTGTGAATCACTGAAAAAGAGGACACAATGCCAAGGAATCCAAAGAGAAGGCAATAATGATAAATGCAAGTTATCACAAATCTCTATGTAGCTGAATATCATATATTGACATTTTCTTTTTAGGTAGCACTGGTGGATCAAGCTTAAATATTCCCTTTACTTCTATAAAGGTCCTTGTCTATCATATGTTGTGTATATTGTGAAATCCACTGATAGTTTTCTGTGTCCTGCAAAGTTGTATCTTCATTAGTCCTGCATCAGATATAAGCTCCTGATAATTTTATTCTGTCAACATAGTACTCTATGTGTAATGATACATAACAAATAATGTTAAAATTAATTTTAATGATGGTGATGATGAAATAGAAGAAGACCACAACTAAGGGCACAATTCTTATTTAAAATTATGTAGGCCGTGAAAATCTGCCAATATTTTAAGCATAAACCAAAATATCAAAAAGTGTTCTTGATTTATGGCTATATATAATTTGCTACAATTAATATAAGAGAAGAAGGCTTTACTATATCAGTCTAAATAAATAAATGGAGTTTGACCTTAAAAAGTCATATGTTTGGGCCAAAATTGACTAAAAATAATGTAGTTCAAAGAAAGCAATATGCATAATTGCTTTCATATATCTTTCTATATTAAACAATAAATACTAACTTTCTGCTTGCTTTATTTTCTCAGAGACAGAACACTTTTGCTAAATCAATTCAAGGATTAAAGATAATTTCTTAAACCCAAGTCTTTTATTCATCCCGATTACTATTGAATTGCCTTTAATACCCTACCTATTTAAGTATTTCAGAGAAGCTCTCTCAGGGTTAATCATGATAATCTTGCAATATTGCAAGGTTAATCATGTTAATCTTATTTAATAATTTACTAATATATACATTTCAAATAAGCTATTGTCAAATTTACTTAAAATTTGGAAAGTTTGATATACTGTATAGATTACTGCAATAATGAGAATAATTTAGAATGTTTTATTTTTAGCAGTGATTGTTTAAAATGTTTTAAGATGCGCATTTTCAAACCCATACTAAATAAGGTTTTTCCCATGGGTAATCAAAGAAGTATTTAGAATTTGAATCTTGCTTATTCCAATTAATTTAAAGTGTGGATCAACTCTTAGTCCTCTGGGTGCATTTACATCAACACAAAAATTACATTTAAAAATGTTGTGTCCTCTCCAACCAAGTTAAATCAATGTGCTTGCATTTTCCCTGAAGGCCAATATAAATGCAAGAATGCAATTTTAAGAGTGAAGGACCTCTATAAACAATATTCTGTTTCTAATTTCTGGAAGGCGAAACCAAAAGATTGAACATGGTAACCTTCACAGCATCTTAATTACTTTTATGTTAAAGCAGTTACCATTTCTATAATTAACATAATAAAATCCATAAAGCTTAACATGAGAAATCAAACAATAACCTCAAATCTGCGCATAAACATTAATGATAAATGCAAATATATTTGTATTTTACCAAATGTGTCAGCATATGATTCATTACATCCTCATATATTTTTCCAAAAATGTAAAAGTATACTGTAGTCCAGGAGGAAAGCTACATGTGAGAGATTAAATATGTATCTTGTCACACTGTCACTACACTATTTAACTGCAGCACTCAGATAATCTAGATCTATTTTGAAACTGAATAGGAACAGCCATTTAGTGTTTAAAAGGGACCTAGAAGTTACTATGGACCAATACACTGAGTTGTTCTACCTACATTTTACTTATTTTTGTCTTGGAATCTTGAGTTCACATGTTAATTTGTCAATTTAAAGAATAAGAAAGGCTGGGTGCAGTAACTCATGCCTGTAATCCCAGCACTTCCGGAGGGCAAGGTGGGAGGATTGCTTGAGGCCAGGAGATCCAGACCAGCCTAGGCAACATAGCACAACCCCATCTCTCTAAATAATTTGAAAAAGTAGCTGGGCATGGTGGTGAACGCCTTTAGTCCTAGCTACCTGGAAGGCTAAGGCAAGAGTATTGTTTGAGGCCAGGAGTTTGAAGCTGCAGTAAGCCAAGATCACACCATTGCACTCTAGCCCAGGTGACAGAGCCAGACCCTCTCTTAATAAATAAATAAATAAATAAATAAATAAATAACAAGAAAATGAGTTTCTGGAAGCTTATGTGACTTCCACATGATGCTGTGTGTATTGATAGGAGTATTTGTTTGTTTATTTATTTATTTTTGAGACAGAGTCTCACTCTGTCCCCCAGGAAGGGAGTGCAGTGGTGTGATTCCAGTCACTACAACCTCCACTTCCTGGGTTCGAGTGATTCTCATGCCTCAGCCTCCCAAGTAGCTGGTACTACAGGCACCCACCACCATGCTAAGGCCAATTTTTGTATTTTTAGTAGAGATGGGGTTTCACCATGCTGGAGAGGCTGGTCTCAAACTCCTGACCTCAAGTGATAGGACAGTTAATGTGAAGCCAGCTCTGCTCCAATTTGAAAGCTGATTCTGCTTTTTTAACTCCTTCACTATTTCTAGGTATACACAGATTACTGCCTGAATTATCTGTCACACTGAGGGAAGAGAGAGACCCTCTCATATTGTTTTATACTCAGTACCTGTTTTAAGAAAAAAACGAGGAAGTGAAACCAAAGACAGGCAGCCCGGCGCCAGGCCCAAAACTGGGCCTGGGCCTGCTTGGCCTAAACCTAGTAGTTAAAAATCAACTCATGACTTAGAACCCGATGTTACCCATAGATTTCAGGCGTTGTATGGGAGAACATTGTGATACTCCCTGCTCTGTTCTGTTTCTCTCTGACCACCGGTGCATGCAGCACTTGTCACGTACCCCTTGCTTGCTCAAATCAATCATGACCCTTTCATGTGAAATCTTTAGTGTTGTGTGCCCTTAAAAAGGACAGAAATTGTGCACTCAGGGAGCTCGGATTTTGAGACAGTAGCTTGCTGATGCTCCCAGCTGAATAAAGCCCTTCCTTCTACAACTTGGTGTCTGAGAGGTTTTTTCTGGGCTTGACCTGCTACAACACGTATTTCAATATCTTTGTTCTAATATTGAAATTAATTATAAAGTAGTTGATATAGAAGGAGCTTTTGGAATCATTTAACTGGTCCCCTTTCTTTTACAGATGTGAAAACTAAGCCCCAATAAAGTTACAGGATACTTCTAAGACAAAATAGCTTCTTAATAGCAGAGGCAGAACTAGAAGCCAAGTCAATCAATGAATACTCTATGTATACCAAACATATCTTTTAATGATCATTTACTCAGTGTATATAAGCAAATAATTTAGAATACATGAGTGACACAGATATGTTGTGCCTCATGGGGTAATTTTTGCTCAAAGACTATTTACATGCCTTATACAGACTTAATTTCCATCCTCTCTTATTAGGTCTGACATTTCTTCCATTGGTTCAGTAGGTTTCGTTTTACACACACACACACACACACATTACATATATATTTTTTGCTTCACAGCAAATGCAGAAAATATATACAAAAGATCACTACTGAATTTTCTTGGAAAGATAAAACATACTTTGTTTTAGGTATGTTAGATATGAGTTCTAACTTTCTCTTCAAAGAATCAATACGTCAATATGTTCAATTCTTTACCTTCTACTTTTAAACTTGACTTCCTTGTAAAGCAAGCTTTTCCAATTACCTGCTCCACCCTGACTCATTCTGATTACCTGTTCATTCTCCACCCTGACTCATTCCGATTTCCTGCTCTGCCATAACCATTTTTCCCGCCAAACCACTCACCCTGTCACTCTCTTTAAATTAGCCAGTCGGAATTAGTTTAGCCTGTGTGGTCTAACCCTAGCCAATAGGGGAATGACACAGCAGCAGGGGACACGTGCATCAGGAATAAGACCCCCTTTTCCTCCCTTGTCGAGATGTGCTCTCACCTTTGCTCCATCTGTGAGGGTGAACCACCCTATAGAAGTAAACAGCCTTGCCAAGAAGAAAAAAAAAAGAAAATTTTATATTGAGTGCTATTTCTTTTGTGGTACCGAAACTTTACTTATAACAGATATTTAACTTTATCGTGCTCTTTAAGTTACTCAGTGAATTATTTAAAACATACCAAAGAACCTGGCCTTAAGGGCATGAAGCAGGGTTGCAAGAGGGAGTGGAACTTAGTGGATAGTTAAGAATTAAGTTGTGTAATGGATCATGGAGAATCTTCCAAAGAAGGTTCAGTGAAGACAGGACTCTGACCACCTACATGGGAACAGGGAGGGATGTCAAGAAGCTGCAGGCAGTTCCTAAATCATAGCAAGGATGTTCATTTAGAAAGGCGTGGCTGGCAGTGGTATGAAGAGAGAAGAGGTTGTGGAATGAGGGGTTTAGCAGAGGAAATCAGGAAGTCATTGTGCTTTACAGTTCTACCAAGAGGAGATGGTTGGGATGAAATATTCTTGATATTTATACCCTTATTTTCTAATAGGGAACAGACGTGGTTATTTGAGGATGCTGCCGTTCCAAAATTGTTGGGCACACAGATAATACATGACTTTGCAATTGGAGGGCTTGAGTGTTTTCTCAGGTTGTAGGCAGTTGTAATCTCTTAAGGAAGCAAAGCAGCAGACAAGGTCCTTACATTTGTATGCAAAAATTATGCCTTGCCTATCCCCAAGGTGTACTGTCCCATAAAGGCCAGGAATTAGGCTACTTGATTTCCCTGGGAGTTAACCTACAAAGGGCAGCACAATGTTGATATGATTATAAACCATGTAAATTCTACATTATTCTGGACTCCCAGGAAAAAATAAACTTTTAAATATTCTACCATTATAAAAATATTAAAAATAATGTAATAATTACTTCACTTAATGATGTTGTTATGCTTGGGACACTTAAGTATTAGCAGAAGAAATATGTTCGTTTTAATATTAATAATATGACTTATATAAATTAAATTCCATACACAGTTGAAATTAAAGTATTAATGGAGTCTTTGGTACCTCTGAAAATGGAAAGACAAACAAATAAAAAACTGCAATGAAAGACTTGAGTGCTGGGCTATTAAGTGATGTAAACAGAATTTTCTGTGTCATTCTATGTTCCTGGGAATTAGTTTAGGTTCTAAATAACTGGAAGAAAATATTGCTAAAATTAAATTTATCATGTTTATTACATAATTTATAGAAATATCAAAGGCTTGTATTTCACTAAAACCCATATAGCTTTCTGATCATAGTCATATTTAATGTATTCTGGACAATAAATCTTTGTTTTGTTTTTTTTCTTTTTTCTTAAGCTGATTTTATCAATGCATTAAACAAATTTTTAATTTAGTCATTATTTTTAATTGACAAATTATAGTTGTATATATTTGTCACGTACAACATAATGTTTTGAAATATGTATATGTTGTGGAATGGCCAAATCAAGCTAATTAACATATATATTACCTTCCATACCTGTCCGTGTGTGTGTGTGTGTGTGTGTGGTGAGAACACTTTATTTATTCTCTTAGCAATTTTTAGGAATACAATACATTTTTATCAACTGTAGTCACCACAAAGACCTCTTGAACTTATTCCTCCTGCCTAACTGAAATTTTGTATCCTTTTGTATCTCAATATCCACCCTCCCAACTAGTCCCTGATAACCATCATTCAACTTTCTGCTTCTATGAGTTCTACTTTTTCAGAACTACATATAAGTGAGATCACGTTTTATTTGTCTTTCTGTGATCTTGCTTATTTCACTTAGCATAGTGTCCCCCAGGTGCATTCATGTTGTTGTGACTATAGGATTTCCTATTTTCTTAAGGCTGAATAGTATTCCATTGTGTACATATTATTATGTCATATTATTAATATTAAAATGTTCATATTGTGTACCATACTTGTTTTTGCTTAATCTTAATTATACTCTTTTAAATATTTTAACACAAATAGCTGTAATGATTCTACTTGCTCTGATTTCTGAAAACATTTCCCCACTTCAACATCACTTTTTCTGCATCTGAATGTCCTTTTTAAAAACTCAAAATAAAATGAATAAATGTCATTCACATGCTTTGGCAAAATTATTCAATTGTAAAAATATTTAGCCTGTGTGTTTATTTTGCTTTGAAATTTATATAACATCTAATAACACAGGATGCATTATTTTATATGTCAGATCAAATATATGTTTCATTAGAGGACTGTAGGTCAATTCTTATAAAACTTTAAGTTTCATACACGTCATCTGTGAATCTTGCTAAAATTGCAAATTCTGATTTAGTCAGTGTAGAGTGGTGCCTCAATTTTGCTGCTGAACTTTGGGCAATGATTTGTGTTGGAGGAATTTAGAGGACAGTGAGGTAGATACAGCTTCAGTTTTCTCTGTGAAACATATGTAAGAACAATACTACTACAGGTCAATGATGTGTGGTGGAAATTTCAGTTTCAATCAGTTCATTATGAATTGTGTTATCCAAGTCAGGAACTCAGAGGATGTCTTTTCCATGTATATGTTTTAAAGTTACCTCCTTCACACTGTGCCCATCACTTAAAGATTTATCAGACTCTGTAAAATACCAGTTCAATAAATTATACCATTATTAACACAATTTTATGTGAAGAATAAAATATAAAGATATCTCTAAGATCACTCCAAAATAACTTACATTTAGCTTTCTTTTTCTTAGTCTTCTTCTTTTTGTTTTGTTTTGTTTTTTATTTTGGTTTGTTTTTTGTTTTTTGTTTTTACACGAATTCTTGCTCTGATGTCCAGGCTGAAGTGGAGTGTCATGATCTTGGCTCATTGCAGCCTCCTCCTCCCAAGTTCAAGCAATTCTCCTGCCTCAGCCTCCCGAGTAGTTGGAATTACAGGTACGCACCACCATGCCCAGCTAATTTCTGTATTTTTTTTAGCAGAGACGGGGTTTCAGCATGCTGGCCAAGCTGGCCTTGAACTCCTGACCTCAAGTGATCCTCCTGCCTCAGCCTCCCAAAGTGCTGGGTTTACAAGCATGAGCCACTGTGCCTGGTCTTTAATCTTCTTAATAAGTTGTCAAAATCTAATATTAGCATATGTTATAAAAAGGTAGAACTCTTCTCTGTATGGTAAAAAATACAGTCATACGGTAAAAAAGGAGAACAAGTCATTATTGGCAATGAGAGAAAAAGTAAAGAAAATCTACTTATTAAAAATTTTTCTGTGGACTAGAAAAATGGCCAGCCATGAATGTCATTTAAAAGTTATTATATAATGAACATTCATGTAATGATTGCTTTTGTCAAGGAATAAAACATTGCCAGTCCTTCCAATACACCTTCCTGACTGACACCCTCCCGTCTTACAAAGATTAGCCTTAACATGATTTTTATGGGAATTGATTTCTCAGTTGTCTTTTCAGCTTTAACTTCCATGTATATGTCCTTTAACAATATAATTTGTTTTGTCTTGTTTTGTTTTGTTGTAAAGATTATATAAATGGTGCATTCAGTATATGCCTTTTGTTCTGACAGCTTCTCTTCAGTAATGTGGTTCTAAGATTCATTAACGTTTTTGTTAGTAGCTCTATTTTGTTAATGTTGACTGTCTATACTATTCTTTTATATGCATACCATCACAATTCATTTATTTTTTGATTGCTGAATATTTACGTTGTCATCAAATTGTCACCATTTTAAGTAATATTGCAGTTAATATTTTTCAGTATGTATCCCTATATAGGTATGAGTATATAACATACAAATACAGATGTAAAATCTCTGGGTTATAGGGTATAGATTTCCTCAACATAATGAAATAAATACAGTGTTTGTTAAAATAACAATTTCAGTTTACATTCTCACCAGTGGTATGTGAGAGTTGTTGTTGCTGTTGTCAGTTTTTAAAATTTTTATCAATTTTTGTTAAATTCTGTTGTGATTTAATTTGCATCTCCCTAAATACCGTTGAAGTTATAGGTTTGTCATATGTTCGTTGGCCATTTAGATTTCCTTTATTTATTTATTTTTTTTTTGGAAGTGAGAGTTCAAGCTTTAGCTCATATTATTTTCTTTTGGGCTGTTCTTTTTTAAAAATTTAATTACAAAGGGACTCTGTACATTTTGAGTATTAGTGCTTTTAGGTGATATTAATTGCAGATATTTTCTTCCAGTTTTGATTTGATTTTTCACTATCTCTCTGTTATGTTTTGATACAGAAGTTCTTTGATTTAAGTGTTTGTTGTCCAAATTTGCCATGTTTTTCTTAGTAAAATTCATTATTTCTTCTTTACATTTAATGTCTTTTTATTCAGAAACCATACACATTAATTCATGTATTAATTATTCTATATAATTCTCTAATGACCTATCATTTTTTATTAGATAGGCCTATAGTCAACTGGAATTCATATTTGTCCATAATATGGAGTTGGGGAAATATTCCTTCTACTATATAAACATACAAATACAACAGTGCCATTTATTGAAGCATTTTTTTCTCAAGTTCTCTACAGTGCATTTTTTCATGACTCAAGTTCCATATATACATAGGCTTTTTTTCAAACTTTGTATTCTATCATACTGGTCTTTTTGTTTTTCCTTACATCAATATATGTGTCTCTATTTATTATATATTTTTAATAAATATGGTTATAAATTCCATATATTTCTTCAAATTTGTATTTTTATCAAGTTTATTCTTGCTATTCTTATTTATATTTCTATATATATTTTAGAATTAGATTGACAATATCCACAAAAATTCTGTTGGGATTTTGATTGGGATCTCTTTGAAATCTATAGATAAATTTGAGATGAGATATCTCTGTTGCACTATTGAGTTATTGAGTTCTTATCCATGGATATGATTTTTATCATTTGTTCCCATATATTTAGATCTTATATCACACACACACACACACACACACACACACACACTCTATATATACCTTATATGTAGAATATGTTATAAACTTATTCTGTAATCTCAGCACTTTGGGAAGCTGAGGTGTGTGGATCACCTGAGGTCAGGAGTTCGTGACCAGCCTGGCCAATGTGGTGAAACCCCGTCTCTACTAAAAATAAAAAAATTAGCTGGGCGTCATGGCAGGCGGCTGTAATCCCAGCTACCCTGGAGGCTGAGACAGGAGAATCGCTTGAACCTGGCAGGTGGAGGTTGCATTGAGCCGAAATCACACCATTACACTCCAGCATGGGCAACAAGAGCAAAACTCTGTCTCAAAAACAAACAAAAACACATATTCTTCTGGATATATATAAAAGAGAAAAGCAAGAATAAATACTATGCCAACATGATAATATTTATTATTAAACCAGTCTCTAGTAAAAATACAAACAAAAAAAAATTAGCTGGGCGTGGTGGCGGGCTCCTGTAGTCCCAGCTACTCGGGAGGCTGAGGCAGGAGAATGGCGTGAACCCAGGAGGCGGAGCTTGCAGTGAGCCGAGATCGCACCACTGCACTCCAGCCTGGGCGACAGAGCCAGACTCTGTCTCAAAAAAAAAAAAAAAAGAGAGATAAATATATAGCTATGAGTATATTTTATCTCTTATTATATTAAGCCAGTTTATTTACTTCCTAATTACAGTACATGTTCATCAAATATGACTATAGAATTTTACCATTTTCTGTATCTGTTAATAATGATGCAATTTTTATCCTGGAATCTGTGTATGTATTGGTGAATTCACTAATTTTTGTAAAGCTGAACTTGCATTCATAATATAAATATAATTTGGTCAATTGTCTTTAGTTGATAATTTTTTCTGGATTATCTGTTGTCTATAAGCTTGGATTTAAGCTGTTAATAATTTCTTCAGAATTTTTTTTTATGAGAAACACTAAAATTATCCTTTCTTATGTCATGCTTATTGGGTATAACTGTGAAGAATAAGCAGGCCTCTCTAACCCAGGCTAGACAGAAAGCAGAAACTGGGCATATGTTTAGATGGAAGTATATTGTGGGGTAATGTGATGTGGGAGCAAGAATGAGGACCAGGGTGAGCCAAGCAGGAAAAAAAGTAATGTCTACTCTGTCTGCTGTCTGGCATTCACCCATATTTGCATGAGAACATTTATTTCAAGAAGTTAGAAGAAGAAGAGCAAGATAAATCCTAAGAAATTATATGGAAAATGTCAATGACAGGAGAAGAAATTAAAAGAATGTAAGTATACAACAGAAAGGATCAACAAAGACAAAATATTCTTTACAAATTATGTGCCTAGACTTGACACATTAAGGCATTTTCTACTCTAGGTAACTACTTGATATAATATTTATAATTAATTTTGTAAAGGCTTTAATAAAATATATGTATTAATAACTAGGAAAAGGTAAGTGAATCCTGGATTTTGTGAATAGAAATACTAGGTTCATTGAAAAAAGATGATACTCTTTTCCATAATATTTGGTTCAGTTTAATAAAGAATTCTCTATATTTTGTAATCAAGTTTTTACATATCTAGTTGGCAGTGTTTTCTTTGCTAAGTGTGAAGTAATAGCTCAGCTTTATTTTCTGAAGTAATACCTCATTTCTTTGGCTTTTAGCTATAATCATCATTTCTCAAGTCAAATGAGTACATTCTGTTCTGCAAGTTCTTAGGTCTCAAGTTGATTTAGAGGTGTTTCGAATATTGTTCACAATTCTGCATGCTTGATATATTGAGTCATAAAGAAGTATTAGAATGAAATGAAAATATTAATTAACCTAGGAAGAATAATAAAAGCTTGACTGAAATAAGTGTGTTATATAAAGCAAGTATTTTCTTCTCACTTATCTCAGTTAAATTTTTTCTGCTAATTCCCCTTGATATTTACATTTTGAAAAAGAAAGAAACAAGGCATCAGTGATCAATGACCTTCTTTTCTATTTAAATTATTTTCACCCAGCAATCCCATTACTGGATATATCTCCAAAGGAATATAAATCATTCTATTATAAAGACACATGCACACGTATGTTCATTGCAGCACTATTCACAATAGCAAAGACATGAAATCAACCCAAATGTCCATCAATGATACACTGGATAAAGAAATGTGGTACATATACACGATGGAATACCATGTAGTCATAAAAAAGAATGAGACCATATTCTTTGCAGGGATGTAGATGGAGCTGGAGGCCATTATTCTTAGCCAACTAATGCAGGAACAGAAAACCAAATATCACATGTTCTCACTTATAAGTGGGAGCTAAATGGTGAGAACACATGGACACATAGAGAGGAACAACACACACTGAGGGCTATCAGAACGTGTAGGGTGGGAAGAGGGAGAGGATCAGGAAAAGTAACTAATGGGTGCTAGTTTTAATACCTGGATGATGAAATAATCTACAAAACAAACCCCCATTACACGCATTTACCCATGTAACAAACCTGCACATGTACCCCTGAACTTAAAATAAAAGCTAAAAAAAAGCTGAAGCAAATACTAAAAAAAAATAAATAAATTGTTTTCTTTAAAGTGGTAAAATTACAATATTTATGTATATATTTCTTTTTTTATATCTATAAAGATTTTAGTTAGAATATTTTTAGTTATCTTAAAAAAGAAATGCTGTCATTTTATATGTAGGCATAGAACATTAAACTGTTTTATCTCTTACCTTAAAAAGAAAATTGTATGATGATTTGGTATTTTCATTGTTTCCTGCATATTTTTATTGAGTTATTCACAATAATATAAACTGTGAATTTTTTCCTGAAGTGACAGTAATTTAGAATCCATCAGCGTGTTAGTCATTTACTTTTTCTCCACAATGTGCATTATTTAGCACTTTTCTGTGTAAATTATTATCTATCATCATATTTTCCAATTACTACCATTAGCCTGACACTTGAGTATTCTCTATTCTGACTGCTGTGGAAATTAAAAAAAAAAAAAAAATCAACTCCCTGTATTTTCACATTGCAAAAAATCTTAATATTGGTAATTATGAATTCTAGTGTTTATTTCTACAAATCCTCTAGAAAAGTTAAGGATATATTATTTGAATTGAACATCTTTCTTTACTTTTAAGATTAGTTTAAATTTTTTAAAATTAAAACAGCAATATTTAATGTGACTTTCATTTTGTTAATAGAGTCATTTCAATTATATTAAAATTAATTCATTTGATTCTAACCCAAATTACTCACAATAGTTTCCATAGTGTAATTTGAATTTCTCTCAACAAAGGTTGGAAAACTATGAAAACTCTCACATTATAACAAAGTTACACATGAGTTAATTAAAAAAAGTTAATATTAAGATATCTCAATTTAAGATTCAGATAGCCAATTTAAAAGAGAAGAAAGAACTTATAATGATGACTTATATTCAGAACACATTAGATAGAATCTCAGGTTTATTTTTTTCAAAGAATTCAGCTAAATACAGAAATTTTACTTTCAGTGCAAGAGTAGTGATGCTTCTCCATTTTTTCTTTGAAAGATTCAATTTTCTATTTAAATAGAAAATTATTTTTATATTTTCGAAGCAATATTAAAGTTAACATCAAAACAGTAATTTTCACTTACTAGAAGGAAATTAAAATAAATGTAAGTTACACTGAAATGATTTTATAAATTTACATAAGCTAATTTTAATATGACATTTATGTATTTAATAAAAGTCACCTGTACTTTGGGAGGCCAAGGTGGGCTGATCATGAGGTCAAGCGTTTGAGACCAGCTTGACTAACATGGTGAAACCTTGTCTCTACTAAAAATATAAAAATTAGCTGGGCGTGGTGTCATGTGCCTGTAATCCCAGCTGCTCCAGAGGCTGAGGCCGGAGAATCACTTGAACCCAGGAGGCGGAATTTGCAACGAGCTGAGATCGCGCGACACTGCACTCCAGTGTGGGGGACAGAGCGAGACTCTGTTTCAAAAAAATAAATAAATAAAAGGCTACCAAATGACATTAGTTTTTAGAACTTTATTCTACCCTAAGGTAAAAAATAAGTGCCCTGATTACTTATTTAGAGATAAGCTTCATAGACCGGTATATTGAAAGTGGCATGCTCTATTGTTTTGAAGCATTTTTGGAGTAAAATGTAGGCATATATCTTCTCAATTTGATTGTGATTGACTGGGCATTATTATTATTATTTAATTTTCTGGGGTAAGGCATGGAAGTCTAGGTTTTAAAAAAGTCCATAAAATTTAGGAGCTAGTGTCTCATAAATCTGATAGATTGAGAAACATTTTTCTATGTTTTAAAATTTTACTTTTTTCAGATTCCATTGGCCAGACAGAAGGTTAGATATTAAAATGATCAGTGTACAAATTTTTAAAGTAATATTTAATGCTAAATAGCTTTTATTTTCATATTTAATAATAAAATATCTAGGCAGTTTTTCTAAAAAGTAGTCAATCCATAGCTGTGTTGTTTTCATTCTTGGCAGTGATATAGAAATTATAAAGGAAATCAAAGTCAAGAATATTATTGATAGACAAAATTATCAGTTTGTGTTAACATAGAGGCTGATGATGAGACTATTTTTATAATCTTTGTTCTCAAATTGAACTTCCGCTTGGGTTCATTTAGTTGTTTTATAGAACTCTTAAAATAAATAATTATATTATTTCAATAAATTGGAAAGCAACTTTTTGGCTTAGAAACATAGGAAACAAAGAGCAAATATCATCAATAAGACTCAAATTTCCCCAATTTACAAGTCCTAGCAATGAGATATAATTGAATGAAATAAGGAGAGCAACAATTTATCTATGTAGAAATAATTTTATTTTTAAATGCACATTACATTGTATATTTTGGTTAGATATAAATTTAGATATCTTTCAAAGATAGTTTTCATCTATGAATTACTTTTCATCATAATCAAACATAAAATTCATACACAATTTTAAACATGCAAGGAACTTTTAAATATATTAAGTATAAAAATTAAACAACTATTGAAAGATATGTTTATAGTACCTTAAAAGAAAATTTTCCTGAAAATAAATTTTGAAGAGTTTTGGTTAATGGAACATACTGAAAATAGCCTTACTGAAGAAAACCGGCTAATGTGTGCTGTGAAATACCAGTATGGAAATTTTAAGAATATCTGGTTGTAACAGCTGTAAGCCCATGGGGCTCCTATAAATAATTTATCTTATAACTGTATTCAGATACAATTATTAATCATTAACATTTATTAATAAATACTAGATAATGTCCCAGTTATTGTCATGTACATTGTTTTCATTATTTTCTTAATGTAGTGGAAATTATAACGTTGATCTAAGCAATGAGAAGACTTACGTTTCGATGAATGTTTGGGTGTGTCCAAGGTCACCCAATCCTTAAATGGGGAGACTGAAACTCAAGGAGAGATAATTCATATTTGACTTCAATGTTTTTATTATAGTATTTGTCAAGTTGTCCTTTTATTTTTACTGACTCTATCATGAAGGTCCAGAAACAACAGAAAATTTCAAATCAAAGGAAGACAAGACAAATAACGACTTCTTTGCTTCCCCCCCACACTCTTTCCATCTACAATTTCTATACAGATCTTACTTGTATTCATTACATGAGTATCCATATTGCCTTTATTCTCAAAGGTGTGTGCATCCTCTTTAAAATTATTCTCTGAGGAAAATATTTCTTTACCTTAAAAAAAGTCACATATCAGAATCTTCGCTTTGTCCATTTTCTTTTTATCTCTTCTGATAGTGAAGGTGTTTTGAAGGGCCTGTTATTTATATTTTATGACATATGAGAAGACTGGATATAATATATATGTTTGAAGAAAAATGGCTGCTTAATAATTTATTTTTATATAGCTAAGGTTTAATTGCTTCTGGAATACAGTGGTCAGTGATTTTAGTAAAAAAAAAAAAGGTAATTATAGATAACAGAGGCTGTAATTTTATTCATGTGCTATGATATTTAGAGGTAACCAAGAATATTTCAGTTTTTTTCAGTGATCACATTACTTCTAGCCACTCTTATAATTACAATTTAGCTCTTTTGCCATGTGTATAAATATGTAGGCCTTTCATGTATATTTTTATACATGTACCAATTCATACACTCTAATAAAAATACTATATGATGTAATCTGAATTCATTTTCCATAAAATAAGGTAAACAGTAACTAAACTAAAAATCAAAAATATTGTAGGCCTATACTATTTCCAAGACTATAATTTGTCAATTAAACCAAACACATTCATAGATATAATGTGGGGCAAAATAATAAATTAATAATCTTCTGGTTTCATTGTAAATTCTGCTACTACTATTAGTAGAAATGTGCAGATAAGAGCAAATTTCAGAGTAGGTACAAAAACATAATGCATTTTCAGCAAATATGAATATTCTCACTAATTAAATGAAAAATTAAAATAGCACATTTTACAGTAAGTATTAGTAGGATATGTGTTGTTTTTCCTTACACTTATAGTATAAACATATACACATTTGTACTAATCCAAAATGTGTTTTATAAACTTTCAAATAATATAAAAATAAAATATGTTATCAGAAGCCTGTCCAATGTGAGACTGTTTTGTAATGTTTACCATGATTCTTTTAGGTTAATTACCTCTTGAGGTTTGCTTTTCAGTGAGATAGATGCCTTCTTTTTACAAAAATAACTGTGTATATATGTGTGTGCTTTAATTATTTCTATGCAGTTTATATACATGTGGGTGGCTTATCTATATGTTCGATATTACTTCTCAATATAAAACAAAAGTGTATTTGAGCCTAGAGCAAGTCAAAATGAAGATTTTCTGATGCCATCGTGTAGAGCATAAGGCCTCAGTCATTGGGCTTTCTCTAAACCTTTGTAGGTTTTGAAGAATGCCAGTTTTATAGGCAGAAATAGTTTCATGGTTTGTATCCTGTGCAGTCACATAGGGTCCTGATATCAAAAAGGCTGCTATGCTTGATTTAATACTGTGCAGTTGCCTTCTTAAAATTCTTAACGATTTTTGAACAAGAGGCTCCATATTTTCTATTTTACCTGGACTCTACATATCGCATAGCTACTCCAGCTCACAGGGTGCAGAAAGGAGGGTGAAATTGTAACTTTTGCTTCAGAATAAACTACAACTCATGGACTACAGCTGTATGCCCCCGAGGAAGCAAGCTAAAAGTTTTTTGTTTGTTATTTTGAGACAGGATCTGCCTCTGTCACCCAGGATGGATGGCACCAACATGGCTCACAAAACCTTCGACCTCCTGGGCTCAGACAATCTTTTCACCTCAGCCTACCTAGCAGCGGGGACTACAGGCACATGCCACCCCACCTGCCTAATTTTTGTAAAGATGAGGTTTCGCCATGGTGCCCACCCTGGTCTGGAACTCCTGGACTCAAGCGATCTGCCCACCTGGGCCTCCCAAAGGTGCTGGGATTATAGGCATGAACCACTACGACTGGTTAAGCTGAAAGTTTTTAACCTCACTCCCAATCCCTGAACTATACTGTAAGACATCACATTATCGTTAGTATGAGGTAAAATAAGCAACACACACCAGCAAAGTTAAGGGTCAGTTATGGCAAAATTACTAATAGGTAAAAAGGGTTAAGGTGATAAATATTAAATGGGCAAAAGACAGACATAATATTATAATAATAATTGTTAATAGCTGTAAAAATTTTGAATTAATTTAGATGTAATTTTAAAAGTATGTATCTTATGATGTGGATGTTGAAAAATATACAAAGAAGAACTTAGTAACTCGTATTAGAATATTTTAATATGACTTAACTACAAACTGATAAGTTAAGGAAAAAATAATTGCAAATACTTGGAACCTTTGAGGAAAATAATTTAGTAAATGTAATCTGTGTTCAATAGAGAAAGTATATAAATTATTTTCAAGTTCATATGAGAAAATTAGCCCCCAAAATGCACATTTGGCCAAAAATAATTTGTTAAATAAAGGCCATGTAATTGATATCATATAAGTCCTATTCTCAGATCACAAAACAATGCAATTAAAACCCTACATTAATCACCATTAGAGCACCAGAGTAATAATTACTGCTGCAAAATCCACTGATGAATACTCAAATTAGTGGGCAAAACATTAAGGAGAAACAGAATATTTGCATAAACTTAAAGTATCTTCCTCCAAATTTATAAAATACAGCGATGGATTTAACATTTGAATATAAATTATTTCATACCCCTCCCCTCAGGAGGTGGAGTGCAATATCCTTCTCATTATTATGAATGTGGGCTGGACTTAGTTACTCCATTCGAACAGAGAATAGAAAGAAAATATTAACTTTAGAGAAAAAATTTAAACACCACTTTAATTAAGTGAACAAGGTTAACATTATCTATGATAAGTCATGTTGATATTATTCACCCTCTGATATGATGTGATGAGCAGGGGAGTGGAGAAAGTCCCATGTATGAATGGATAAACAAAATGAAAGAAAACATACATGCATATGTGCATACACACCACAATTATCTGTTATCAAATATATACTATTAGGGATCAATTTAATTGAATTCATGAATCAGCTTCTCAGCTTATCTTGGTTTTTTTAGTTAAAAAGAATGTTATCAACATTTTATTAAAATAAATGATCCAAATTCATAATTCTAAGAAAACCTTTTATTGAAGTTTAGTATATACAAAGCACACATGTCATAAGAGTATATGTAGAGTAAGCCCAGGGAAGAGTAAGCCCAGTGAAGTTTTGGAAAGTGAACGGACCCATGTAACCAACTTCCATATCAAGAGATATATTATTAATAAAGTCCAAGAACCAAGAAGCCACCATCCAAGAACCAATTCATTTTCCCCAAGAACTGAAATTTCTGTTATCCTAGTATATGCAAAAATTTAAATTATCTTAATCAATAGGTGATTTTTTGTGGTTGTTACCATGATTTTGTTTTGAAAGTTTAACTCTGCTTTATTCTTTATTTTATTATTGATAGATACAAAAATAATCTTGTTGATCTAAATGTGATGTAATCCAGACTTTCTGTGGCAGTCAGACTTACCATGGAGCTAAGACCCTGGTCATCTTAGGATCTTTACAAATAATAATGTTTTATTAGAATTTTTGTTTGTTTGTTTCAAAAATCTTAGGTTTTTAAGAATCATTTACAAGATTTACCCCAAATTGTGTAAATACTATAGAAATTTATAGCTTCAAATTCAATAAGCCATCATAAATTCACTTTTTGCCCTGAAAGAAAAATTCATATTTAGAAGTTTGAGACACTCCAAAAGTAAGAGTTAGGATGCTACAACTTTCTTTTTTATTAATTTTAATGTTAAGTTCTGAGGTACATGTGCAATATGTACGAGTTTGTTACATAGGTAAACGTGCGTCATGGTGGTTAGGTTCACCTGTCAACCCATCACCTAGGTGTTAAGCCCAGCAAGCATTAGCTATTTTTCCTAATGCTCTCCTTCCCCATAGTCCACCCGCTGACAGGCCCCAGTGTTTGCCATTTCCCTCCCTGTGTCTGTCCATGTCTTCTCATTGTTCAGCTCGCACTTATAAATGAGAACATGTGGTGTTTTGTTTTCTGTTCCTTCATTAGTTTGCTAAGGATAATGGCTTCCATCTCCATCCATGACCCTGCAAAGGACATGATCTCATTCCTTTTTATGGCTGCATACTATTCCATGGTATATATGTACTACATTTTCTTTATCCAGTCTATCATTGATGGGCATTTAGGTTGATTCCATGTCTTTCCTATTGTGAATAGTGCTGCAACTTTCAATGAAAGACAATGGACAACCATGATGTGTGTTAAACATAGTAGTGACAAGGTCAATATTACTTGTGATCAAAACATATTATCCTACAACGTTCTAAAGCTTAGAAAAGCTTGATTAAGTTTGGGATTAAACGTCAATAAACATGGGACTGTTCTGCAGCAAAATCCACTCAAGATCATTTTGCTCCTCATTTCAGACACTTTTAAAATTTTAATTAGGTAGTTTTTAGTATATACACAATGTTGTAAAATTATCATCACTGTCTTATAAGGGAATATTTTTATTACCTCAAAAGAAACCGCATGAGCTTTAGCATTAACTCACCATTTTAATTTTAATGGACTTTAATTGGACGGTTTAATCCATTTCTATTTAAAGTAACTACCAATAAGAAAGGACTTACATCTGTTGGCTAGTAATATATTTTTGTATTGCCCTGCCATTTCCAAAATGTTTTCTTCTAACTTATTCATGTGATACCTATAGTAATTCTGTAAAGAGGGTTTCATTATCCCCATTTAGAATGGTTTTCTATTTCTGCATAACAAATTACTGCTAACATAGTTACTCCAATAACGTGTTTGCTAACCCACATTCTGTTGGGCAGGAATTCAGAAATCATTCAGCTGGGTCCTTGGCAGAGTTGCAATCCAGGGGTTAGAAGAAGATAGATTATCTTCTTCATGATGCTCAATTAGAGAAGGTTCCAACTCTGTTCATTCAAGTTGTTGGAAGAATTCATTTTCCTTGAAGTTGTAGGACTGAAAGTAGCAATTTCTTGCCAGTTGTCATCCTGAGGCTGCCCTCATTTCCTAGAGGATACTCATAGTTCCTTGACGTGAAGTACCCTCAAATATATGCTTGCTTCCTCAAAGTCAGCAAGGCAGAAAGATAATTCAGAAGGATCGTTGCTACAAACTTACATGTAATCATGTACATCTTGTCATAGTTGCTATTACTTTATTGGTTATAGTCAAATCAAATTCCCACCTATCCTCCAGGAAAGGGAATCACACATGGGCATGAACACTAGCAGCAGAGATGATGGAGCTCACCTTAGGAGTTTATCACCCACACCATCTCTTTCTATAAAATGAATCATCTTATGCTGCTAGGTAAATAGCCTAAACAAAATTTGAATACATTTTTTACTCTATTATTTTGGATACATTAATTTTATCCTCTATGTAATCTCGCTTTATAACCACAAAGTCAATGGGTAAAATAATGCATGAAAGAATAAAAACATGATAGATTAACCATGACTTTAAATACTGGATATGTCAAGAAGAATTTTTTTAGGGCTACTACAAAAACAATTGTCAGAAATAGTATTGCCAGATCCATTTTAAAATGCCAGTAATTTAAAAAGTATTTTAAAAGTAAATTTATATTAAATGTAGTGTTCAACCTTAAAAACTATTTATTTAGAACAGTGTAAAACTTGTATTAAATTATTTTGGTTACTGTAGCCTTGTAGTATAGTTTGAAGTCAGGTAGCGTGATGCCGCCAGCTTTGTTCTTTTGCCTTAGGATTGTCTTGGCAATGCGGGCTCTTTTTTGGTTCCATATGAACTTTAAAGTAGTTTTTCCAGTTCTGTGAAGAAAGTCATTGGTAGCTTGATGGGGATGGCATTGAATCTATAAATTACCTTGGGCAGTATGGCCATTTTCACGATATCGATTCTTCCTATCCATGAGCATGGAATGTTCTTCCTTTGTTTGTGTCCTCTTTTATTTCATTGAGCAGTGGTTTGTAGCTCTCCTTGAAGAGGTCCTTCATGTCCCTTGTAAGTTGGATTCCTAGGTATTTTATTCTCTTTGAAGCAATTGTGAATGGGAGTTTACTCTGTATAATTAAAAAAAAAAAAGAACTTGGAGCATAAGCAATGGTACTAAGATGCCTTAAAGGAAATAATTTATCTCTTCTCTGATCGGAAGCTTCGTGTTTCTTCCTGGGATAAATAAACAAATACATATATAAAAACAATAATTTTGGTGATTAATATGAGATGTACTTGCATAAACATAACCTTCTGCAAAAAAAATAATAAATGAGAACCATTGGGCCAATGTAAAAAGGTGGTGGATATATTGATATCTTGTTTTGTCAGTTGGGAAGTACATCTTTCTCCATGTAGTTGCTCATTAAGGAGGATTTGGTAAAGTGTTTGAAGGACAAGTAACAGAAGGTAAGATTGGAAAAAGAAGACTGAATAGTGCTTTTGCTTTTTGCTCTTACCTCCCAAGCAGCAGAGAAAAATTCCAGAATTCCTGAGAGCTGGTGGGGTTTGGTAAACAAAACTCACTTTCAAAAGTGAAGAAGTGTTCTCTGTACCCCCTTATTTCTTGCTTCTCCTCTATTCCAGCCTCAGCAGCTTTAATGATTCAGAATTGAGTCACAGTCTACACCCTAGGAGAACAGAAGGCTTTATACAATCATCATCAAAAAAAAAAAAAAAAAAAAAGCCAGCACTTTAAGGATGAGAAAGATTCAGAAGTCTTTAGCACTGTTGGAAACAGTCACCCAAGACACTATCCTGCCCAACCATGGGCACAAGAGTGAATGAAGTTACCATGGAACGTAGGGTGAAGTCATGATAGTCTGTGAGGGCTAGGGAGAAAGAGCCCTTCATCCCAGGCAGACCTAAAGGCTGGAAAGTGAATAGGAAAGTAGACAAAGAAAGGGAAAGAAAGCCTCCGAGTCCAAAGCCATCCGCGATAATTTGCTTCCAAAGCTCTGGTGTTTTCTAGCCCCCATCAGGTGGAAAAGTGATCTCCCAGCAGCTCTGAACCTAACCCTTGAAATGCTGAACTTAAGCCATAGGATATAGCAAAACTTGCAGTGAAGAAACATGAAAGAGATTAAAATGACCTTTGCCTTGTTGCTTCTATATATGAATGTATGGTAGAAATCAATGCTGGATGTTACATGTCTATAAGTTTTTATCCCTGTAACAAAGTGATCATTCTGACAATAGGAAAGTTGGAGATAGATAAGTGAGTTAATAAGACAAACTCACCTGCCCTTTGCCACTAGTGAGTTTGTTAAAATTGAGCTTGAGTGCCAATCAATTTATTGGCTGCTTTGGGTACTGAGGATAGAACAACTCTCTAAAAGTGTTAATGATTTTTTGCTGATTAGAAACTTTTCAAGAGAAGGCTACATCCAAAGAGATGAAGTACTTACTGGCAGGTAATCTTGGGGTGATTTAGACTTAGGGTTATGAAGGAGCTACTAGATATATTCTTCTATGAAATGTAGGTTGTTAATGGGCTCTTGTTAAACTGAAGTTCTAAGCCATAGAAACCTGATACCTCTCTGGCTTAATGCTCTTTTTTTTAAGTAGGTCAAGTTCAAGTCTTTATTTAAGAAGGTGGAAAAGGCTGGAAAAGCTGTGCTTATTGATTAGATATGGTGTGGTGAATATTGTTGCTAACATGTTTCTAACAGCCTCTTGGCTTTACATGAGAATATGGCTGCTGTCCCTTTGGGAACATGAAATACCATCATTGGGGTGATACTGGCATCTTTGGGCTGGGAGGATTTATGTCCTGCTCCACTGCCTGAAGTAAAGCTGAACCTGTTGACTCTTTTGGAATTTGACTCACTAAAGTTCCCCTAAGTGACAGAAACTGGATGACTGATGTTAATTGAAACCCAGTGGTGTTTACTGTAGATTTTTCAGCCTCAGTGCCAGCTATTCCAAGCTGAAAGCAGGCATGACCATCTGCTCAGTGGACAGAACTTGGACTCTGAAACTGCTACAGATGAATATCACCCTTTTTGGGGGACATGGTTGTGGAAGTGGATCATAATTGTGGAATGAACTATCTGGATCAGCTAAGTAGATACACTTGGCAATGGTCTGTTCTCTGATGAGAACACCTGAAATCACACTACTGCCTGAGTATTGTATGTTTCCGAGGCAGAGGAAATCAACTGCAAGTCAGACTATGACTTGTTCCAGGGATGCCCCCTTCATCTCTAGGTTATGGAGGACTTACTACATAGACTGTGGCCCCAGTATCCTCTGGCAAATTTACAAATTCAGGATTTCTACCTGCTCTCCAGTCTTACTAATTAGCTGCCTCTGTCACATGGTCCTTGAGGATAATTTGTGTCATATATTTGGCTTTGTGGACCATTTGCTGTTTGATAAGGAAGTGCCTTTCATGGTAGAATTTATACAACAACAAGCTGATAGACTGACTTTACTTCCTTCATCTTCTGATCCACAGAACTTAGTTTGGCAGTTTGCTGTTGTCAGTTGATTGGTTGGTTTGTTAGTTTTGTAAATGCAGTCATACTAAGAAAGGGATTATCTCCTCTATTCTGTTGCCTAGAGGATAATCAGGATGAAAGGAGTGGGGAACTTTAGGGATTATATTTTGAAATTTCAGAATTCTGCCCTTTCTATTCCTGGGCATAATGCATCATTCTTTCTCTGGACTGCACCCCCACATCAGCCTGGGTAGCAGACTCTCTTGACTGTAACTTGCACAAAAGTAGACCTAGATGATTTACTCTTGATTCTGGCTGAATTAGATGAAAATGTGTTTGTCCTTCTTGCACCAGAAAGATCTACAAGTCAGACTTTGCACCAGAAAGATCTACTGCAAGAGGGACAATAGCATTTTCATATAATTTCTAGATGATGTCTGAGTGACGGCAGATGACTGGGGAAAATGGAAATTTGTGTTTACTGAAATAGGACAGACTAATTTTGTGAAAGTGAAGAAAGAAAAAAAAAAATCCCGACACATGAGGAGACAACTCTGTAAATACTAAAAGGTACAGACAAAAGGAGCATTAATATTCATTGTTTCAGAATTGCCCCGGGAGCTTTTCTCCAGAAGGAAAATACTCTAGTATTGCTCCCCGATACAGTTGCAAGTATCTTAAAGCCCGAGTCTGCCATCCCTCACCAGATAATTCTGACCATGAGTCAGTCGGTGATGGTCCCAGCTCCTACACCTTAGGTTAAAAGCACCTCTAGATGTTGCCTTCACCTCTATTCTCAGTCATTCTGAGGGGTTCGTGAATTGTGTCATGGACAAGCAGGGCAGATTGAACTGACTACCCTGAAGCAGTCCCTCTGAAACCCGTGACTGAATTCTATCATTTACACTGAATAAGAATATCTAAGGCTTACCATCTTGTGGAAGATGGACAGTCCTGCAGGAAGCTCCAGTGGGGTACTACAGATCACTGGGAACTTGCGCCATCTGACTGTTGTATGTTTCATTTGGGAGGCCCCAATAATTGTTTCCAGGGGAACTGTATTTGCTTCAGCATTGTACTTGTGTGAAATGCATGTATTGATTTTTCTCACTCAGAAAAACACTGTGATTTGCACATAGGAGTGGTTATAATATACATTTAACTATTTTTTTAAATACCACTAGTAAACCAGGTAGCCCTCAGTTGACTGTGAAGATCTCTTCAAAATGAGGATATACTCAGTTACCTGGGAGAATTTCCTAGAGGTAAAACTGGCTTATTATTCATACATATTATGGTAACAATTTTACCCACAAGGGAGTCATTCCATTTACAAAGTTTAGGCCAGACGCTGTGGCTCGCACCTGTAAACCCAGCACTTTGGGAGGCCAAGGCAGGTGGATCACTTGAGGCCAGAGGTTTGAGACCAGCCTGACCAACATAGTGAAAACCCGTCTCTACAAAAAATACAAAAATCAGCTGGGATGTGGTGGCATATGCCTGTAATCCCAGCTACTCAAAAGGATGAGGCACAAGAATCACTTGAACCTGGGAGGCAGAGGTTACGGTGAGCCAAAATGGTGCTGCTGCACTACAGCTTGGGTGACAGAGCAAGACTCTGTCTCAAAAAATAAATAAATGAAAATATAGTTCAAAATTTGTCAGTACCTTAGACTTTTTCTTGCAAGCCAAGGTTGCATCTGTGCAATCACTAGTGCATCTGGCTTAATGCCTTGGCTAGATGGAAAGATCTATACAGAAATTTAAAGAGAAAGCTACCTGGTTTCCTAAGATTCATTGATGGTTTACAAGATTTATTCAGCTGGCTGAATTTTGGAGCTGAAATAAATACTGCAGGTTGGTTTCACCCTGCTTCCCTGAGTCCTACTGATAATCGTGTTAAGTGCCATATAAGACAAACTGAATAGATGTGTTTCTAGCCCTGTCATTCTTTCATATTCATCAGAATGGCCAATTCAGTGGTACACTGATGGAAAATATGCCGGAATTTAGACCACACAGAATTGAGGAGTAGACCTGTTAGGAAATAATGCTCATGAAAATATCCTCATGTCTGCTTAGTCAGTTTTCTCTTAAATGAAAAAATGACAACCTGAGTTAAAGTATAATTGAATTGCCACCCTTGAAGACATAGAAACATCTTCCCCTAAGCAATTTGTTTAAATTTTAGAGGTGGCCAAAATAGAAACCTTCCCCTCCCCTCAGATAGGTTTCATCTATATTCCAGAGCAAAGTTTAATCTCCCTCCCTTCCTCTCTAAGGCAGGGAAGATGGACTGACTGCTTTGCCAACTGTCTTAGACAATTTCCAAGATTCAAAATTTTGTTGTCCTCCTGTTGTACAAGCCCCATTGTACGTTCTGGCCCTCAATATATAACCATGTCAGGAAGTGAGACATACAGAGGCATGAAAGCTGCTTTGTGAGTAAATAAATGGTTTGATCCTTGATCCTGAGGTCTTGTGTTTTTGTCAGTGTGTTTAGGTGCATGTGTGTGTCCATACATCATATGCACAGACACATAGATAGACACACTAATATCTGTTTGTTCATACAAGATGACATTTCAGAAACGTCACAGTTTAAAATTCAACTCTAATAAAATTCCAGTGGCATAATTAGAAAATCAGCAGTAAATGTTAAAAACCCAGCTCATGCTATGATTCTCTAGCCATGTCATGTTCATTTTTGAAAATTTAGAAAAATTTAGAAAATTTAGTTGGTAACATTATTTTAGCATAAATATTGGAAACTCTTGATGCAGCTACATCTTAAAATTATCAGAGTTAATCAACGTAGGGAAAAACACAAGGGGGCTAACACCTGCTAAATGACCCTTAAATGAAACTTCTCATTACAGTTATGTATTTTAATAACACTTTTATATACTCTTATTAAATGTTTGCCCTTTAAGGGCATACATAATTTCCATCTATGTAAATTCTCCTAATTAAAAATCTCTACAGCATCATCATAAACTTTATCTGGGTATTGTGATTAAAAAGACCTTTGATGTCACAGTGTTATATAGCTTAAAAAGACACATTTATTTATAACCCCTAAGGTAACAAAAAAATAGACGTGATGAACTCTTGAATTTTTTGCTTTTAAAATAACTTATCAGGTCGAATTCTGACTTCAGTATACTTATGTTGTCAATAAATATATTTTATTTATGGATAGTTTACAGTATGGTTTATCTTTATCTACCATCTGGAATAAAAAGAGAGATAATGATAGTAAGCTATTTAGTAGCTCATGGCAGCTGGTACATAAATTTACAGTTATCAATTGACAAACAGCAATTATCAATCAATACCAGTAAAATTATGTCTACTAGTTACTATACTTGAAACATTAGCAAAAATTGTACACTTACTAGTTCAAAATTAAAGAATGATTATATTATTGAAGTCTGTATATCATTTCATTGGATAATGAAAACTCTATAAAAACTAACAATAGCTACTTTATTCGTAATTGCTACCTTATTCTCTTTAATTTTATCACAATAAATATCTAACTATTACATATTAATAGAGTAATATTGATAAAAAATGCTGGTGACTAAAAATTTATATTAAGAGTTTTCTTTGATTCTGCCCTTTTGATCCTCCTATTCAGAAGATCCTCCTATTCAGAAGTTTATATCAATATGTAATTGACCTGCTATTGTTTGCATTACTGTCTCTCCCATTTGATATTGGAATTCATTTTTCATCCATGTTATAATCATCTTCTGCTGTCTTTCCCTATCCTCTGATACAGCTGTTCCAATTAATAGCAGTATCAGTTTCTAAGCCCGATGTGGTTGCTCACACCTGTAATCCCAGTACTTTGGGAGGCCAAGGCAGGTCTCGGCTGGACCCTGAGACCAACATGATCAATATGGTGAAACCTTGTCTCCACTAAAAATACAAAAATTAGCTAGGCATGGCGGAGAACGCCTATAATCCCAGCTACTCAGGAGGCTGAGGCAGGAGAGTCGCTTGAACCTGAGAGGCAGAGGTTTCAGTGAGCTGAGATCGTGCCATTGCACTCCAGCCTGGGCAACAGAAGGAACCTCAGTCTCCAAAAAAAAAGGGCAGTATCGGTTATCAGTTTCCAATACCAGGGCAGAGATTTTTAATGGGTAGTATTTATATCAGAGTCAGGACGCATTGTTTATATCATAACATTAATCACCCCAGCACAAAATTACCCCTTGATGATTATCTCCTGATATTTTTTGCATAATTATATGTATTTTTTACTATTCAGAAAATATTTGCTGTAGTACTCTAGCCTCATTTTTCAAAATGGCAATGTTCCAAGATCATAGTAGCTATGAACTTTTTGAAATACTGTGTAAAGTTTGTGTTTTACTCTGTAGGCTTGTTGTTAAAAACAAGGCAGCACTAAAATTAAAAAGAAAAACAATACTCTCTTGCTATAAAATACATTGCTTTTAGTTTATTTTGCTTAATTATTTTGGAGATGCTGAAATTATCCTTTGGCTATCTTTACATTAAGAAAATGGGTGGTCAGTTACTTGTGTCTGCATCCTTCACAGGACCATACATAGATTTCTGTACCCTAAATGTGTTCACTGAGTGATTGGATTGAATAAACTTAAGTTTGACAGATTGTGTTTCTCAAATTATTCTTATCTCTTCCTAGGATTAGTGCGAAGGAAAAACAAATTTGTTTGTTGATATTAAATCAATGTGTTTTATCAAAATAAACTGGGTTAGTATGTTTTGCTGTGATTATAATCATCTACCAGCCATAAACAAAAACTTAGGCTACTCTGTAGGGTAGCCCTGCTCTGTAAGGAGCAGTTTAAAAAAATGCTTATTAGTTACAGGTTCTAATTGAGAAGGGAACAAATAGCCATGAAACATTTTGACATATTATACTGCTAATTATCAAATAACCTACACTATGCATTTCAGTTTATCTTCAAGTTTTGAACATTTTTTTGTATTCTCATAACATCAATATTCTTTATTCTTATCCAGCAAATCTAAAATGACACATATCTTTATAATGTCTATAATAATTCATTTTAGAATCTATATATAACATCATTCTCTCTTCATTTATATTCAGAAATTTTTACAACTCGGGCTGGTATTAGTTTTGACACTCTTTGGCTTCAAAATGCCATTAAACTCTTTAATAATAGACAGGTGGGGTTTATGGATGCCAGTCAGTCATGTAATGCTGTGAATTTATTACATATGGAACATGCTTCTGTCTTATTTTAAAGGGTATGTAGGTTTAGTTCTGTGTGTTTGCATTCATTAACATGTTGTAGAGAAAAGCAAATCATCACCATAATCCATTTTTGACATTTTTATCACATTTAACCTCATAGATTTTGATTTATACACTTTTCAAGTATAGAATGCTTGAGGTTACTGAACCAAAACCATTTATGATGTTTGTATGCTATTTGGACTAGTTACTGTTTTATTGACACTTAGGAAATAATATTAGAACAGCTATAAATCTAACTCAGACCTTGTATGGTAATATTCTGCCTTGGAGATTTTGTCTTTCTGTTGATGTCAGAGACAAAAATAAATTGTAAATAAAAGTGAATTAAAATGTATTAATACATATCAGCTGACTCTACATAAATCAAAACCTTGTCGCCAACCTCACATCCCCAAATAAGAAGACCAAGAAGACATAGCCATTGAAGAAACATGAGGAGATAGATGTGAGAGTAATCCTTATTGGCTGAAAACTGTGGGTGAATGTGGCAAAACTGCATATGGATATAAGATCACCAGAAAGAAAGAGACTACATAGGCCTAACAAGAAATATTCAGCAAATGGTTCTTTCAGAGTTTCACCCTCAGGAATAAAACACTGCTTACAGAAACCAAATTGTACCCATAGAAATACGGAGGGTAATAGAGAAAAGAGCTTCAGGTAGCTAATATGGAGGGGCTTGAAAGACTTAGATTCCATCTTGAAATTTTCAAATGTTCTTAATCAGATTTGACTTTGAGGGAGAGTAGTTATATAGAGGGGTCATATTTAGAGTGCTTTCTGGGTAGCAGAGTAGCAACAGTTTTCAAACTATGAAACCAGAAACTGCGATAGCACATAAGAATGTTCACCAACAAGCCTAAAAAATCTTTCAGGTTAATCCATGGAAAGCAAAGAATACAATCTAACCCACTTAAAATTAATATTTTGAAAAGACAAAAATGAACTAAGTAACATTCCAATAGAAAATGAGGATACGCCAGAAAATGAGGACACACAAAATAAGGAAATGATAGGTTAATGTTTCCAGCAACCTCAGAAAAGAGCACTTAGAATTAAAAATGAAAATATTACAAGTGGTACAGCCAGTCAGAATTCACATGTCTCTCATATCTGGAGTGATAAATTGGACAAAACTTAGTAGGCTAACAGAAGATCTGAAAATGTTTACTTTATTAGTAAATCTATGCAAAATACTAAAACCACAATAAAAATATACCTACTTTTGAAGTGCTACTGTGCATTTAGAAAACCTAATCACATATTAAGTCACAAATGCAACTTTAATTTTTAAAGAAGATAGAACAACCTTTTCTTAATGCAGTAGAGTAAGAATAGATGTTAATGGCAACAACAATGGAAAAAAAACTCTTCAACAGAAAAAAATACTTCAATTCCTATTAAAAATCCCTTGGTCAAAGTGGAAATAAAAAATAAAATTGCATCATTTGTACAAAACCACATGAAAGATCAAACCTATCAGCATCTATGTGATACAGTTAAAGTGATGCTACTAACACTGAGTGGATCTATTTCAGCTTCCTGTTCATTACCCTTGTCTGTCTTAGCTATTGCCATATCTGCAGTGGGAAAGGAAAGCACCTAGCATGCAATAAGCCGCCAATGAACATCGCTGAGTTCTCAATTATTTATTTAATACAGAGCAGAAGCAGAGATACCATGAAAAAATACTGCAGAATAATAATAATGATGGGAGAACATACCTGTCAAACAGTAAAACCTCCTGTAAAGTCACTTTAATCTCAATACTGTATTTCTCTGATGAACAAATTTATATGAAAAATACATATACGATAATGTTGATATTTTGATGCATTTTAATATGATCTGGGAGAAAATACATGTGTTTCCCCACATTAATGCACATAGAAATAATAATTCCAGATGCAATAATAATAAAAATTAAATAAGAAAATAAAAAATGTAACATTAAAGAGTGTATTTTTATAAATTTGGAGTAACATTACCTAAAAAATAGTAAAAATTGTGAAAGTCAAAAATGAAAATTAGATGTATATTTGTTACATTAAAAAATTTAAAGTGAAAAAACCAAACACATACAAAGAACAATGAATAAACATATCTGATAAAAAACTGAAAACTCATAAGCACTGAGATTCCATAAATCAGTATAGAAAAAGACAACAGAATACAAATAGTGTTCAAATGTCAAAAGAAAGAAAGGGAAATCCTCAATAACCCATGCATTTGAGAAGTGATTCCCAAAGGCATAAGTCAAGAAATAAGAAAACAATAATAAACTCTTCATTTGAATTTTGTGGTAAGAGCAGTCTTTCATATCCATACTTGGTGAAAGAGAATATGTATTTTACTTATCAATAGAGTAGTCAGAAAGGAACAATTAAAATGAATTATTTGTCCTATCAGTTGCACTCTTTGCTATCTACTTTTTAGAAATAGAGCATAGGGAAATACTGGCGAGGGAATTTGTTGCAACAACGTTTGCTGTTGAAAAAAATTGTGTTTTCTTCATAAAAGGAAAAAATAATGAGTTATTAAACAGAATTGGATTTATAGCTAGAAAACAAAAAGTTCATTACTAAGTGAGAATACATTATATGATTTTTACAAAAGCAAAAATAATAAAACTTTTATATTTATATAGTAAGATTTTATTTTCTAGACTTGTTATTGTGTGTTATCTCAAAAATGTTTTCTCCTTGTTGAGAAGGAGAGTAGAAAACAGAATTTTATAACACATAAGAAACTGTTAGCATTGACACATTCCTATCAAAAACCATATTTCTTCTTCTCTGATTTTATAACAAAAAGACAGAAAAATTTGTCACAATGCATAAAAATGTCAAGTAGGAAAGAGAATAAGCTCATAGGCTATGATCTAAATATAGCTCTGCTCTCTCATCAATTTCTCATCTACAACTTCATAACATGAGGATTTGAGGAGAATGTTGTATTAAAGTTACAATTGGTTATTTAATGCCATGATTTAATAAAATATAATATATTTATTTTTATAGTTCTTCCTACTTTTTCCCGTATTTGAAATTCAGAAATGTGCAAAAAGTGCATAGTGATTTGAGAAATATTGGGTAAACATCACAACATTAAAATTATATAGAGTATTTGTAATAACAGTACTACCATTTATGCATGCTTTCAATGGGCCAAGTACTGTAACAGTACTTGATAGGTCTAATCTACTAAATATATACAACTATCCTACAAGATAGACGTTCATTTTATGTATAAACAAACTGAGGCTTAGGCAAGTAATTTGATCAGAGTTACACAGCAAGTAGTGTAAAATTACATTTGACTTCATGATGCCTCCATACCTTGGGTTCTTACATAACAAACTGCCACCTAACTTAATATGTAAACAAACTGAAAGACTAATTTTAGGAGTGTCATATTTTATAACAGATAGGTAAGTCTCAGCAAATCACAGCAGCCAAGCTTCAGCTAATCACAGGCTACATCTAACTGTAACTGATTATAGCAAACATCTAACTGTAACCAATCAAGCTGTTTCTGTACCTCACTTCTGTTTTCTGTCCATAAATGCTGCCTATATCGTGGAGCAGAGCTCTCTGAAACTCTTCAGGATCTGAGGGCTGCCCAATTCACAAATTCTTCTTTGCTCAATTGAACTCTGTTAAATTTAATTTGTCTAATGTTTTTCTTTTAACACTAGTAAATTCAGGATTTTATGACAAGTTTTTTTTTTTTTTTTTTTTTATACTTTAAGTTCTAGGGTACATGTGCACAACGTGCAGGTTTGTTACATACGTATACATGTGCCATGTTGGTGCGCTGCACCCGTTAAATCGTCATTTACATTAGGTATGTCTCCTAATGCTATCCCTCCCCCATCTCCCCATCACATGACAGGCCCCAGTGTGTGATATTCCCCTTCCTGTGTCCAAGTGTTCTCATTGTTCAGTTCCCACCTATGAGTGAGAACATGTGGTGTTTGGTTTTTATGTCCTTGTGATAGTTTGCTGAGAATGATGGTTTCCAGCTTCATCCATGTCCCTACAAAGGACATGAACTCATCTTTTTTTATGGCTGCATACTATTCCATGGTGTATATGAGCCACATTTTCTTAATCCAGTCTATGGTTCATGGACATTTGGGTTGGTTCCAAGTCTTTGCTGTTGTGAATAGTGCTGCAATAAACATACGTGTGCATGTGTCTTTAGAGCAGCATGATTTATAATCCTTTGGGTATATACCCAGTAATGGGATGGCTGGGTCAAATGGTATTTCTAGTTCTAGATCCTTGAGGGATCACCACACTGACTTCCACAATGATTGAACTAGTTTACAGTCCCACCAACGGTGTAAAAGTGTTTCTGTTTCTCCACATCCTCTCCAGCACCTGTTGTTTCCTGACTTTTTAATGATTGCCATTCTAACTGGTGTGAGATGGTATCTTATTGTGGTTTTGATTTGCATTTCTCTGATGGCCAGTGATGATGAGCATTTTTTCATGTGTCTGTTGGCCACATAAATGTCTTCTTTTGAGAAGTGTCTGTTCATATCCTTTGCCCACTTTTTGATGGGGTTGTTTGTTTTTTTCTTGTAAGTTTGTTTCAGTTCTTTGTAGATTCTGGATATTAGTCCTTTGTCAGATGAGTAAATTCCAACAATTTTCTCCCACTCTGTAGGTTGCCTGTTCACTCTAATGGTAGTTTCTTTTGCTGTGCAGAAGCTCTTTAGTTTAATTAGATGCCATTTGTCAATTTTGGCTTTTGTTGCCATTGTTTTTGGTGTTTTAGACATGAAATCCTTGCCCATGCCTATGTCGTAAATGGTATTGCCTAGGTGTTCTTCTGGGGTTTTCATGGTTTTAGGTCTAACATTTAAGTCTTTATTCCATCTTGAATTAATTTTTGTATAAGGTGTAAGGAAGGGATCCAGTTTCGGCTTTCTACTTGTGGCTAGCCAGTTTTCCCAGCACCATTTATTAAATAGGGAATAGTTTCCCCATTTCTTGTTTTTGTCAGGTTTGTCAAAGATCAGATGGTTGCAGATGTGTGGTATTATTTCTGAGGGCTCTGTTCTGTTCCTTTGGTCTATATCTCTGTTTTGGTACCAGTACCATGCTGTTTTGGTTACTTTAGCCTGGTAGTATAGTGTGAAGTCAGGTAGCGTGATGCCTCCAGTTTTGTTCTTTTGCCTTAGGATTGACTTGGCAATGCGGGTTCTTTTTTGGTTCCATATGAACTTTAAAGTAGTTTTTTCCAATTCTGTGAAGAAAGTCATTGGTAGCTTCATGGGGATGGCATTGAATCTATAAATTACCTTAGGCAGTATGGCCATTTTCACAATATTGAGTCTTCCTATCCATGAGCATGGAATGTTCTTCCTTTGTTTGTGTCCTCTTTTATTTTGTTGAGGAGTGGTTTGTAGTTCTTGAAGAGGTCCTTCACATCCCTTGTAAGTTGGATTCCTAGGTATTTTATTCTCTTTGAAGCAATTTTGGATGGGAGTTCACTCATGATTTGGCTCTCTGTTTGTCTGTTATTGGTGTATAAGAATGCTTGTGATTTTTGTACATTGATTTTGTATCCTGAGACTTGCTCCAGGTTCTTATAGGGTAATGTGATAAGGGTCTGATGTCAATGCACATGCAAAGTGATTTGCACTGCAAAAGAGGAAGCTTGAGTTTATGCATGCATAAGGTCATGGATGAAGGTATTACTTAGAATTTAAGGAGGATAAATTATTCTCAGTTCTATGTGACTGAGTAGTGGTGAGGAGATAAGAAAAGGCCTTCTGAATAAATCTGTTTCAATTTATTTCACAGTTGTTTTCAACATATACTCTTCCTTTCGTTGCCTTCCTAACATTATACAAGTGTAGAGAAATTAATCATTTTTCCTCTGAGGGGCCCATATGGCTCAGAGGCGAAAATCCCAGGAGTAGAGTAGATAAGACTATCATAGCCCTGGTGATCCCATTTTTCTAGTATTTGATTGAGGAACCATGGCTTAATTCAAACACAATACATGACTTAGCTTATAGGAATAGTCTTTGTTTCAAGAGTTTGAGTGTAAACTAAATTGACTCAATCAGACTCAAAGGAAAGGCTTCTATTGTATTAGTATGTGACAGCCTCAATCTCTTCTATGCAGTTTATGAAAAATGGAAAATATAGTCTATTTTATTGATAACCATATTATGATGACAAGATGAACTAGCTTTAGGACATCACTGTCACTGAGGATAGCAGGAAGGAGAGAAAGCAAGAATCAGAGTTCTTGATGACATATTGAGTCACTGTCTTTTGACTTGTTATAGGTCAAACTATTCTTATTATCTAATCCAAGGTAAATTCGATTTACTGGTACTTGCAGTTGGTATGACACTACAGATACAAAATTCGATACAAGAAATTGAGAAGTATAAAACATTATATTTGCCAAGTGGATAAAGTAGGATGATGAGTTTCTGCTAAGGACGTTGCATTAGCACCCTTCAAGAGGCATTGCTTTTACAGAGCAAAATGTAAATGGTGTCCCTGGAGTTGTGTGCTGAGGTGAATGGTTTAACTACTGCTTACTGAATCAGCAAAACCATTATTTTTAACACTATTTTGTATTAGTTAGTCATATGAATTTGTCAGTAATATTTCACTTATGTTGTGCCAGAGGTTTCCTTAAGGGCAAATTAAATTCGTTACAATTAACCAATTATCAAACAAATATAAAAGCATATCCTTTGCGGTATTAGTTTTCTATTGGTGCCGTAAGAAATACATCACAAACTTAGTGGCTTAAATTTATTATATTACCATTCTGGAGGTCAGAAGTCCAAAATGAGTTTTAAGAAGCTCATCTCAAACTGTTGGTAGGGCTGGTTCATTCTGGAGGAGAATCTGTCCTTTGACTCTTCCAGCTTCTAGAAGAGTGTATTGTTTGGCTTCTGGCCCCATTACTGTAATCTCTATTTCCACTGTCGCATTACCTTCTCCTTCATTTGACCAAGGTCGCTTGTGCTTACATTTAGGTCCCCCTGGTATAACCCAGGATAATCTGCTAATCTCAAAACCTGTAATTAGTCACATTTGCAAAATTCCTTTTGCCATGGTAAGGTAACATATTCACAGCTTACAATGATTAAGACAAGGACATATTTGGAGGGCCATTATTCAGTGACCATAACTGCATTATGATAAATATCAGTGATGTAACTACTTTATTTCTTAAAGACCTGTATTTTGAAGGAGGTAACATATTTGTCAAATAGAGCATTACTCTAGCCTACTTATGCTACCAGAATGATCACTGTTTGTTCTTAGAATAAACTCTAAGAATAAAATGACCTTTGTATCATAGAATCATGCCTTTCTAACTGTTAATAATAGGTATATTTTAAGATCTCATAATCAATCTAAATTTCAACCAAAAATATATAATTTACAGGGGTTTATTTATAAGATTTAGTCAGATAGAATATGTGCTGCATTTTCCTTATTTTTAATGTACCATAAAATTACTGTCCCAAACTTGAGTGTACAGATTTGCCCAAAAGGTTGATACCAATTTCCTGGTTTTTTAAAATCAACACTGTCTTCTAATTTCAATTTTCAACAATATTATTGTATTAACCTTATGAACTGATAATATAGTTAAATATAAAATATGTTCTAAGCAATACCATACTTTGTTTCTAATGTTTTTTTTCTCTTCATTGGTATGTATACTCTGAACACATGATTACTATATATGCTGCAATTCTCTCATCATCTGAATAATAAGATGTATATAATATTTACTTAATCATTATTGATTGGCTGTTAGAAAAATTATCATAGTTATAGGAAATAGCTTAATAATCTTTCCTCTGATTGACTGGAGCTCCTTATGTTGATTCAATTGTACAACAGATTTTACTTCAAGAAATGTGTTTCAATATATAATGGCTTTAATTCTCATTTATAACACCTTTGCCCATTAATTCAAATATCTTTCCTGCTTAAAAATATGGTACACAATTGGAATAGACTTTCTGAATCATTAATTGATAAATCTGTGCATTGTCTATATTGTGGCTTCCATTCATCTTAATTTACATAACTCTATTTTAAGTCCCCAAATCATAATGCTATTTCTTTCATTTCATTTCCAATAAGCAAGTTGTATTATACATTATTTTCTATTATATGTCATGATGGTTAATTGTAATATGTCAACCTGACTAAGCCACAGAGTGTCCAGATACTTTTTAAAACATTATCCTGGGTATGTCTGTGAATGTGTGTCCGGATGAGATTAACATTTAAGTTGGCAGACTGAACAAAGCACATTGCCTTCTCTAAATTGTTCAGTTCTCATACAGTCTCTTGAAGACCTCAATAGAACAGAAGGCTGAGCCAGAAAGTACTCACTCTCTCTGATGATCTTCAAGCTGGGACATTGATCTCCTGCTTTTGGACAGGAGATCTCACACTTGGCTCTCCTGGTTTTCAAGACTTTAGGCTGCAGATCTTGGAACTTGTCAGACTTTGTAACCATGTTTTTTATGTTGTTTACAAGTTACTAAATACAACTTAAAAAAGAAAGACATAGTTATTTCTAAGAGCTGTTCACTAGGAACAAAATGGTAGAAATACCTCAAAGCAGAGAACTGGTTGGAGTGAATGAAACAGCAGCATATGTTATAAATTATTCATCTTAATTATTTCTAATGAAACAAATGTAGATGTAATCTACCATTTATATTTTGTAAGAATGATCATTCTATCTGTGAAAGAAGTTTAACTTATTTGAAATTCTCAAGGAAGTAGTATTATATTTATATTATGTCTACACTTAAAATATTATAAGTGAGTAAATTATCTTGACTTGCTGATGCTTTAATGTACCATGAATCTCAATACAGAGTATAACTAAATCTTTACAGTAGTTGATTCTGGGAAAACCATTATTAGGGGACTTTTACTTTTTAGAATCTACTTTTAAAGTCTTGGGAGTATTGGTTTAGACTAAATGGTGTTTCCTCAAATTTATATTTTGAAACTTTAACCCCGAATGTAACTGTATTTGGATATATGGCCCTTAAAGTGGTAATTAAGGTTAAACTAGTTATGCCGATGGAGACCTAATTTAATAGGACTAGTTTCTTTATAAGAAGATAAAAGGATATCAGAGAGTTTTCTGTGCTTGCACACACGAAAATCCCGCATGAAGACACGATGAGAAAATGGTCATGTACAGGCAGGCCACGAAAAGACGCCTTACTGGAAATGAACTCTGAGGGCACCTTGACCTTGGACATCTAGCTTCCAGACTATGAGAAAACAAATTTCTGTTGTTTAAGCCACCCAGACTGTAGTATTTTGTTATTGTAGCCCAAACAAAGTAATAAAGATTACATTTCATTAAACATAATCTGAAAGTTGACTCCAAGATCTAGTAAGTAAAAGTGTTGCAGTCAAATCAACTCAGGTGTGAAAATCTCTGACATTAGTTTTTAACATAGCCCTAACAGGAAGCTTAATATTTTGTATTTCTATGTAATTCCCCCTTTATTTTAGCAAAAGCTCTCATTTTCATATTACGAAATATAAATTAGCCAAATTAAGTTAAATTCAGAGATTTCCAGTCCTTAATGTGTTCACTTAGCTTGTACTATGGAACTTATCCAGGTTCCCATAAACAAGGCTGCAATCTGCACCAGTATCCACTAGGGCCATCACCCACTGTACATTGGTGAGGGATCGGTGGATTGCTAATTCCACATCTGGCCTCTGGTCATCCAATGTCCCCCCAAGACAGGCACCTCTTCCAGTTCCCTACTCAAACAGAAAAAGCTCTACATTTCCACCTGGCTGCAGCAAGCAGTCTTTGAGCTGAAATGCCCAGGGGGTACTGGGTTGCGCAGCAATGTCGTTCTTTCCCTTGGGCATTTTCTGGAATTGCAGCTCTGGAAACAACTGTCTCCACAAAATTAAGAGTACTTCATTAGGCTGCTTATCAATTTTCTGTCAGTCAACCCTGGCCAAAATCAAATCTATCCACATCTGTAAGCATGTCACTTGTTGGGGCCCCTTTTTCTCCCATGGGGGCACACTTGTGGATGGGGTATCATCCCCTTCTTTATGGTGTGGACCCCTTGGTCCCATTCATGGCCTTCTGCTTCCCAGAGAGCCTCCACAGCAGTGGTTACTTCACATATGTGGCACCCTATGCATGAGTAGGACAGCATCTAGTGAGCCAAAGGCACTCGGGCACAGAACCCAACACAAGATTCCTCGTGTGGGAGGTGAAATGTTCATCATCTGGCCTCCTGGTGTTCAGATCAATCATAGCCTGCCTCATACCCATCTCCCGGATGGCTTGCACCAAATCTGCATAAAACTGCCATTTACTCATGGTTGCGGGTGTTTCACCAGCGTTGTTCCACACAATCCATATGGCTGCCCATAGCCACTCATTCAGGGTGTGGTCACCTTTCCTTTGTGTCAACCGCCTGCTCACCTGCAATTGCTGATGGAGAGAGGGGTGAGTTGTGATAGAGGCCAGCTTTTCCATTTCAGAGGCAGGACAAGAGATATTTATCCGCTCCCTCATCCCACAAAAGAAGCATCCAGGTGGGCAGAAGTTCCCCTGTATGCTGGCAGCACTGCTTGCCTAATTCCTGCAACTCAGTTGGGGCATAGGAAGTATATGAAGTATGTTGTATTACAGTGTGGGGGTCCCTGAGCCTGCCCTTGGGGCCACAACAGCTATTGATGATCTACCTTCTGATGGACCATTGGGTGAGCCCGCAATGGGGGTTCATCCTTTTCAGTATTAGACCAAACACAGGTCTCCAGCCAAGAGGACGGACCCAAACCTGCATTCACAGCAGCCTCTAATTCCTTTTCTGAACTATGTTGCCAGGCCTCCAGGCACCCTATCTGTGCCTGGAGAGCCCTTACCATAACTGCCTCCCTCAGGGACTGTGTGTGTACTTCTCATAGTGCAGTGAAAAATGCCCATCCAACTCTGCTGGCAAAAGCTCACTCCTTCTCAGTGTTCTGTGCTTCCAACTGCTTCAGTGCCTTCTCCATGCTCACAAGGGACCCATCTATCACCCCCAGGTTTCCATCGGAGCCCATCTGAGCAGCAGACCTGCCATGGGGTACCATAACCCATGTTGTGGCCACATGGCTGACCCGGAATCAGCAGGGACTGAAGGCTCACGCATCTCGGGATCTTGTTTGTAACGCCAATTGTCAGGTTCTAACTGAGGTCCGAGGGGAGTGGGTGGGTGAGTGGCAGGTAGCTGGAAAAACACTCAAGGAATCGTAGACAGTTTTCACATGGCTTTACTCTCTCTCTGGGTGCAAGCAAGCCTGTGCATGAGCTGTGGGCATGAGTGAGCCATATGTACAGCGTTGCCGGGGTAATTATACCTTTTCCAGATAATAGTGGCTCTGAGCCAAGCAGGAACTCATGTGGGTGATCACCTAATGGGCCTCATGTGGCGTGGTTACATAATCTGTGGAGTTGTGCACCTGCGCTCTAAACCCACTGAGTCATGCTGTGGTGGAAGGCTGCCTTGGCCTACTCCTGACTAAAGTGCAGTTGTTTCCCTTACACCCCTTTTCTTTGATTTCTGCTTCACCAACCTGCCCTTGGAAGCAGAAAATGTAAAACATCCTTGATTATGAATGAACATAAAAATAACATTAGGCTTCAGGTAATTATTTATAAGTTTTTATACATGGTGGAGGTATGGACTTTGGCTAGAATCTTACTCTGCCTGTATATTTAATTTGCTATTTTTCATCATGATTTTTGTGGAATTTTTTTTTGCAGTCATCATATACATATAATTTGAAAAATGTCTAAATCTTATAATGGTAGAAAATAGGATGAGTTTCTACCACAAAAGTCATAATTTGACACTAATATTTGAGACTTTATTATATATAAGGACAATTACATAAACACACGTGTAAAATTTATTCAATTTAAGCTTTGTAATCTTCATTTTACACAAAGGGTTACAGTAGTTTAAAAAAGTGAAACGAGTTGCCCATATTTACACAGCTATAAAGACAAAGCTCATCCTCTTTCTATTGTATAATATTTCCTTCAGTCTTTCCCACATCTTAAAATATACCTACTACACTTTATCATATGTATGCTGTCTTAATAATTCCCTATGACCATTTATTAAATAACAGAGCAGTTTGGTTAAAAATTCCACTCTTTCTACTACAACACAATTGGCCCTATCTGATATCAACCTCATATAGATTTTATCCCAATGAGTATTCTGTCTTCAGTCTAAGCTTCAACCTAAAGAAAATACTAACATTTATTTAATAATTTTGCACTGAAAAAATCAAAACCTGAAGAAAATGTGCTGTTATGAGGTAATTAAAAATATTAACCCTTGAATTTTTAAAATTATTATAAACATTTCCATACTCTTCAGAAGACTACTCAAAAGAAAAAATTGTGCTTGACTTTGTATGTGCAAAAAAGTTACATAATACTCTTGTTATGGACCCAATTGTGTCTACTTCCAAATTTATATGTTGAAGTCCTGATTGCCAGTAATTAGAATATGAATGCATTTAGAGACAGAGTTTTTAAAGAAGTAAATAAATTAAAAGAAGTTGTTAGGGTGGGTCCTAATCCAGTATGACTGATATCCTTATAAGAAGAGGAGTTTAGGACACAGACACATATACAGAAGACACAGAAAGAAGAAGCCTATCTATATAAGCCAAAGAGATAACCCTCAGAAAAACCAACTCGACTAAAACCTTGATCTTGGGATCTATCCTCCAGAATTGTGAGAACATAAGTATCTTTTGTTTCAGCTACCTAACATTTGCTCAACTCAACTTACCTCTCATCTTTTATGTACCAAAACAAAACACCTGAATTCAAAGAACACACTAGTATGGCTATTTAATTTTGATAAGTAACACCACCTGATTTTTTGGAACCCAAATTAATTACCTTGGAATAGACTAGGCCAGTATGTCATCTGTTTATGAGCTCATCTATATCAAGTAGACTCTTGCTAGAAATGCAGAATCTCAATTCTCATCCCAGGCATAATGAATCAGAATCTAGATTTTAAAAAATTCCAGAGTTATTTATATTTATACGAAAATTTAGGAATCCTTGCTCTAGGCTGGGTTAATGCTGACTTTGCAGACTCATGGATTACAAAACACTGTAACCCAGTTGAACTGTTATGGATATGCTTACTTGATGGAGGTAACTAATATTATTTTTGTTATTAGTACTAAGAGTTTTAGGAGATTCATTTGTGATTATATCTGCCTTATAGTTTAGTTACCTGGTACTGCAGTGGGAATCAAGAGAACAGAGAATCTCAAAACCACAGAGCCTATTCCCAAAGAACCTATGTGAGCACATGACTCTGTCCATGATTTATATCTGGGTGGCCATTAAAATTATTATTCTACCAGAGATACTTTTAAAAGTGAAAATAGGGCTGTATGCTACTTGAATAGGATGCTGGGTGAACAGATGCAAACTGTAACTCAATGACAAATCAGCTCCTATGGACACACTCGACACATTCAAATTATGGCCATTGAAAGACATGTGGATATCTCCAGATATAGGTGACCAGATGGATTATTGTTGGAGAGGAATATCAGAAGCCTGAAAGACTTAGGAATTTCATAAGAATGGGTCATTAATTTACCAGCTTATGTCTTCTCTTATAATACCTAACTTGATAACAATGAGACTCTACAACTTTTGTATATTCTTTATGCTATGTTATTGCTATTTTAAAGTACTTACATCCTATGCAAGGCTTATTATGGAGGTGTATTGAGAGTCATAACTAGTTGATATATTCATTTTGTATATATCAATAAAGAAGGCTGTAATTTTTCAAATAAATTTTCTGGAACATAAATGTCTTCATTTTCCTATTTGAAGATCAGTAGCTCTTTTTCTGCCATTACAAGTGAGTGGAAGGTTGTAATAATAATTAAACTGTATATTAGAAAGTCAGATAATGATTGACTGTTCTTGAATATAAAGTAGAAATTACTGCTCTGAGATATAATAAAGTACTGATGACATCAATAGCAATAAAGAAGAATACATCCAATTTTACAGGCTGTGGTTGTCTGTAGCACAATCAGTCCTGTGGATGTGGTTTTGGGCACAGCTCTTGGTTGTTTAATGAACATCCATCTTTTTTCCTTTTTCTGATTATGCAAAGTTCAGTTATATTTGGGTTGAAAATGTGCTCAGCCAAAAATAAAATAAAAAAGCAAACAACCAAAAAGACAAAAAATATTTTTCTCAGCCTCCTTAAAAATGGTGGTTTTAAAATCAACCACATTTGACCAAAGTATATGGAGCAGTTACTGAGAGGGCCTTCCAATGAATTGTATCAAGGCAGTCACTCAGCTGCCGTGTGCCTTTTGCCTTCCTTCCCAATCTCCTTCTTTCTAACTAGAATTAGGCATAGTTCTAACCAACAGAATGTGAGCCCAGATGAGGCATGCCACATCTGTGTCTAAAGCTGAAGATGACAAGTCTAAGAAGAAAGATCCCATCCTCTGGGTCACCCGTTGAGTGAGAGTCATCCAAAAATCTCATATTATTGTTCTGATAAATGATACTTTTACTTGTATCATATTTCAGCCATGATCTATTTTTTGCCATCCTGCTACAGCGGCTAACAGAACCTTTAGGAAACGCGCTAAGAATGGGACAGCAGAAAGAGAAACTTCGGTTTCTTATGATATTATAAAGCCATCACACCTTCGAGGAAAAATATATATATAGCCTAATTTGTTCAAATAATGTTTTTTCTGCTCTCTGCAACTCACAGCTAACAGAAATTTCTATCTAATAAAGTCTATACACTCATAATAAAGCAGTCAAATAAAAATTGTCCTATAACGATTGGCTTCTTTCTATGTATTTACTATGGTCTTCTTGAAAATAGAAAGCAACAATATTTCTATATAGGAAGTGACTAATCACTAAAAATTTGTTTGAAACTTCAGTTGTTTAGATGTATTTTTTGAAAGGAACAAATTTAATGCATATAGACCTGCCACAAGTATGTATTTTTTATTTTATTTATTTACTTAATCTATGCAACCTGTATTTCGGTTCTCTAAGAGATTAAAAAAGCAAAGCAGCCCCAAAGTATATTAAACAAATATACTTTGTTTAATATACAAAGCAGCCCCAAAGTATATAAAACAAAGCAGTAAAGTATATTAATATTTTTATATTTCTGGCTGTATTTCCCTTTAAATAAATAGATAATCCAAAATCAAAAGCAGTAAAAAGAGATGTATTTCTAAATGCATGGAAAAGCCCAATTTTAATGTATTATGCTTTATCCAGTCTCCCCACCTCCCACTCACAGTAAGAAACCTGATTTATTTGAACCACCAAGAGGTACAGTGTTTGGGTAACTATTTTTTGTTCTGTATATTAGATTTGAGGGTGAAAACTTTGGAACAACCCAAAACGCAAATTTTTCTTAGCTTTCCATCTCTCCATAACCTTTTACTTACGTGCAGAAGTGAGTTTTTGGAGTGTTAACACTGCTTCAGATGGATATCTCAATAAAATTAAAACTAACATAAAAGTAAACCAAGTGGTAAAAGGAATATTGACTTTCTCTTTATTGCAGATTTAACAATATGAAAGATAGTAAAATATAATTTTATGTTAGCTAATAATAAAAATACGTGTTCTACAACATTGTATATTTATGGCATACTTTCCATTTCTGTATTTAATTTCTGAATGTGAGAACCAATAACACGTTTTCTTCATTAGTTGTGTATTTCCTGGTGAAAGTAACATTTATACATCATTGAAATATTAGCAACTTCTTTTTGCAAATCATTACCTGTAACCAAGCACATACATATATATAAATACATTGTAATCACTAAATAAGAAACTGAGATAAAATCCAGTTCTAGAAATGGTCAGCTATGTTCATAAAGTCTATGTTTAGATATACAGTCAAAGCACAGGCTAATGATCTTATCTACATTTCTAAAGAAGGTAATAGTTTCTTATGTTTTTACTTAACTTGTATTAGATAATCCATTTTGTGTATGGTTTTCTCTTAGCTATTACTCTGAGGTTGTTTCTTTTTGGTTGAAGGGGAAGACATATTTTTCCACACTTTCTTGATTATTTGGTTTTTCCTCCAGTTAAACTACATCATATATATAAAAAACATTATTATTGAAGTGAACTACAATTTTAACATTTAATATGGAGAACTGCTCTCAGTTAAAGATCAGTTAGCTCTTCCTAGAAAGTATTGATCTTTCGTTTAACCTTATCAAAGCAATTTAGGCTTAAGAAGAGGAAACAGGCTTATAAAACAAAGATTTTGATAGTACCATAAACTCTGTGTACTGCATATTTTAAAATTTGAAGTGCAATTTAAGAACTGTTGCCCTAGGTTTATAATAAATACAATTAAAGATGTAATTATGAAGAAAAAAACTCATGTTTTTACTTCTATGTATGTAATTTGGCTCTATTACTCACACTGTTTGCTGTACATCATCTGTCATAATCCAAATAACTTTGGTTTTAAACAATAGTAAATATTAGATTTTTAAATATTATTTTCCTGTTTGTCAATTTTATTTTAATAAAAGGCTATATTTCTAAGAAGTAAGGGTCAGTCTTTAATCAAATGAACACATAAATATTTGTCATTCTTTTTTAAATTTATTTTTATTTATTTATTTATTTTTTATTATTATACTTTAAGTCCTGAGATACATGTGTAGAACGTGCAGGTTTGTTACATAGGTAGGTATACATGTGCCGTGGTGGTTTGCTGCACGCATCAACCCGTCATCTACCTTAGGTATTTCTCTTAATGCTATCCATGTTTGCTCAGTGGCTTTAATAGGAGACCATGGCTGGGTGCCAAGGCTCATGTCTACATGTCTGTAATCCGAGAATTGTGGGAGGCCTAACCAGGGGGATTGCTTAAGCCTGTGAGTTCAAGGCCAGCCTGAGAAACATAGCAAGACCCAATCTCTACAAAAATAAAAAATTAATTGGGCATGTTGATATGCACCTGTAGCTCCATCTACACAGGAGGGGGAGGTAGGATGATCACTTGAGCCCAGGATTTTGAAGTTGCAGTGAGCTATGATTGCACCACTGTGTCCCAGCCTGGGTGACAGAGTGAGATCCTATCTTAAAAAAAAAAAAAAAAAGAGAGAGAAAAAGAAAAAAATAAGAGACCATGCTTTAGAAATAGTTCATTAACCAGTGACTTTATTAGCAGCCTCCACAGTTGTTGCCAAAGAGAAGGTTCCACAGTCCCTATCAATTTATCAATATGTGGAGTTTCTTTGATGGGTAGTTGAGGAAACCCATCCATGTTATAATTAAACTACCTAGTACCTCCCTCTTCTCTATTAAACAAAATCAATATCTATTTTCAAGAAATGTCTTAAAATTAATTTGTGCCAAAATGTGATTATTGGTTTACATATTTGTTAAAGATCTAAAGAAGCTGGGTGTCATTTCATTTGACTTTGACTGAAATTAGAGGCCATATGAATTAAAAGTAGTGTCAGTTGCTAACCTGTACTCGAGTGATAAGTGAATTTATCAGCTAGAGTACTGTGTTCACATATATATATATATATTTCCAGCTAGAGTACAGTGTTCATATATATATATATATATATATATATATATATATATATATATATATTTTTTTTTTTTTTTTTTTTTTTTTTTTTTTTTTTTTTCTTGTTAGAAGGAGTCTTGCTCTGTCGCCCAGACTGGAGTGCAGTGGTGTGATTTCGGCTCATTGCAACCTCCACCTCCAGGTTCAAACAATTCTTGTGCCTCAGCCTCCGAATTAGCTGGGATTACAGAGGCACACCACCATGCCCAACTAATTTTTGTGTTTTTTGCATTTACAGGGTTTCATCATTTTTGGCCATGCTGGCCTTGAACGCCTAACCTCAAATGATCCACCTGCCTTGGCCTCCTGAAGTTCTGGGAGTTATAGGCATGAGTCACCATGCCTGGCACCACATAAAATTATTTTGTCATTAACATTACATTTTAAAATACAAACGCTGTTTTCCATATTACTCAGGTCAGATCTTTTACCCCACTTCTCTCAGTGAGATTGCATTATTTATTTCCATCTCTATAATCTACTGTTCATCCATCTATCTATCCATCCCTCAATTTAGTTTTTTCACTACATTCTGCATTTGATTCTTTTGAGGGTGTATGCTTGTGTTTGTGCGTGGAAGTGGGGGTGTGTGTGTGTGTGTGTGTTCAAAAAGGTCTACAGTTTCCTTTTTCTGTAATATCTGTGTCTGCTGTTGGTATTAGGGTAATGCTGAACTCATAGAGTATGTGAAAAGTTTTCTACATTCTTTGATTTTTCTGAAAGAAATTGTGCAGAATTCATATTATTTCTTTCTTAAATGCTCAAGTGTTTATTAAAATTTACCAGTAAAATATTATGACCCTAGGGTTTTCTTTTTTGGAAGGTGTTTAACTAAAATTTCAATGTATTTGATAAATGTAGGACTATTAAAATTATCTATTTTTCCTTGAGTTGGTTTGGTAGTTTCTGTCTGTCAAGGAATTGGTCTGTTTTATCTAAGTTGCCAAATGTATTGGCATAATTACCTTATTGATATTTGTCAGCTTCTTTCACTCCTTATATTGACATTTTATTCTCTACTCTTTTCTTTATCAGCATGACAAAAGGTTTACCAAATACATTGATATTTTCAGATAATTGCCTTTTTTCATTTCATTTATTGTTGCTATTTCTACTTTTATTTCTACTCTTATACTTAGTATTTCCTCATTCAATTTGTTTTGTATTTAATTTGCCACTTCTTATGGAGGACATTTAGATTGCTAGATTTTAGTTAGGTCATGCTTTTGTTCTCAGCAGGCCTTATGATAGAAATTTTTCTCTTTTCTGCTTTAGTCACATCCATACATTTTTATATATTGTATTTTCACTTACATTCATTTGAACATATTTTAAATATATCTGAGACTTATTTTTTAACACGTGAGTTATGTAAATGTATATTATTTTTCATATCTGGAGATTTTTCAGGTATCTTTTTTATTCTAGTATAACTGTTTTCTGGCTTACAAGCATACTTTGCATGATTTTTAATCTTTGAAATTTGTTAAGAGTTATTTTATGGTATAAAATATGATCTACCATGATTAGTCTTTCTTGTGGATTTGCAAATAATATGTATCTGCTATTGAGTGGCCTTTTCTATAAATATCAATTTGACCAAGTTGTATGATAGAGCTGATGGTTCAGATCATCTATAACCATCTATAATACCACTGACATGCTACCTACTTACTCTACCAGTTACTGAGAGAAGAGTGTTGAAGTCTCCAACTATAGTTTTAGATATCTCTATTTCTTTTACTTTTTTTTTCCAATGTGCCAATATTTTTTCTTGTGTATTTTGAAATTCATATTAGGTGGATACACACTTGAGATTATTACACTTTCTGTAGCATTGGCGCTTTGTCATTATTTAATTTCCCACTTAGCTATGTTCCGCATGGTTAGTGTCTGCATGTTATACAATCCATCACTTTACTTTTAATCTATCTATGTCAGTATCTAAAATGGGATGCTTGCAGTCACCATTATGTTGGGTCTTGCTTTGTTTCTTTAATCAAATCTGATAATCTATGTTTACTTTCAACTAGTAAGTTTAGACCATTTCCATTTAAAGTGATTATCCACCTGTTTATATTAAAATCTACCATCTTCCCTGCTGTCTTACACTTGTTTTATGTTTTCTCTTTCTCTTCTTTTTCTGAATTGAATTATGTCTTTTTATGATTCCTTTTCTCTTTTTTAAAAATTTTTTTTATTTTTTTTTTGAGATGGAGTCTCACTCTGTCACCCAGGCTGGAGTGCAGTGGCATGATCTTGGCTCACTGCAACCTCTGCCTCCCGGGAAGCCATTCTCCAGCCTCAGCCTTCCAAGTACCTGGAATTACAGGTGTCCACCACCATGCCTGGCTAACTTTTTTATTTTTAGTAGAGACGGAGTTTCACCATGTTGGCCAGGCTGGTCTCAAACTCCTGACCTCAGGTAATACATCCGCCTCAGCCTCCCAAAGTGCTGGGATTACGGGCATGATCCACTGCCCCCTGGCCTCTATTTTTTTTTATAGTAGTTTTCATAGACTCTAAAAAGTACGTTTTTAATATAATACAACTCTACCTTTAATTATTATCCCACTGCTGAAGCAGATAGCATATGCCCTATTACTCCATCCCATTCCTTGCTCTATTTTTTCATCCATTTCATTTTCATATGGGATATAAACTTAAATTTTAGAGCACTTACAATGATAATAAAATCTTTTTATAAATTATTCTATTTCTGATGTTCTTAATTTGTTTGTGGGTAGAACCATGTTTCTGAATATACTATATTCTTCCTACAGAAATAATTTTCTTTGACATTCCTTATAGGTTGGTCTTCTAACAATTAATTTTCTCAGTTTTTATGCATCTTAGAATGTCATTATTTCTTTAAGTTTTTTTTTTTTTTTTTTTGAGACAGAGTCTCTGTCGCCCAGGCTGGAGTGCGGTGGCATGATCTCAGCTCACCGCAAGCTCCGCCTCCCGGGTTCACACCATTCTCCTGCCCCAGCCTCCCGAATAGCTGGGACTACAGGTGCCCGCCACCAAGCCCGGCTAATTTTTTTTTTTTTGTATTTTTAGTAGAGACAGGGTTTCACCATGTTAGCCAGGATGGTCTCGATCTTCTGACCTTCCGATCTGCCCGCCTCGGCCTCCCAAAGTGCTGGGATTACAGTATTTCTTTAAGATTTTTAAGTCAGCTTTATTGAATTATAATTTAATACTTTACATTGAACCCTTTGAAGTATACAATGAAATAATTTTGTATTATACATATACAGTTATGCAATCATCACCTTAGATTATTTTTGGAACACTTTGTCACCCCAAAATGAAATGCCATGCCCTTTAGCAGTCATCTTCTATTCCCCAATTCCTAGGTAACCACTAAGCTCCTTTCCATCTCTGTAGATTTTTCTATTATGGATATTTCATATAAATAGAATCATACATTACATATTTTTTGTGACTGTACTGTATTGTATGTATTGGATACACATGACACACATACATACACATTTATAACACCACACACCTAGAGTTTAAAATGACCTAAATTTCAATCTCACAGCTTCTATTGGTCACAGCTTAATTAGGTTCTGTGCTCACGATCTTGCTGTGCTGTAATAGAGGTGTTGGCCAGGATGCATTCTCATCTTTAGACTTGCCTAAGGAAGATTCCACTTTCAAGATTCTTCAGGTTGTTCGTAAAATTCCTTTCCTTGTATAACTTTCTTATTTGATTTGAAGCCAGTAATGGAGAGAAGAGAAGGAGAGAGATAATGCATTGCTTCTGCTCTCTTGCTTCTGATCCTCTTTACAGGGCTCACTTGATTAGAATAGACTCACCTCAAATAATCTAATTTTAATTACCATGAAGTCAACTGAAGAGGGACCATAATCTCATCTCTGAAATTCCTTCAATCTGAGATATTCTATTGGCTAGATGCAAGTTGCAGGTCCTGCCCACAATCAAGAATAGTTATTGAACAAACATTTGTATACCAGGGGACAGCAATCATGGAGGCCAGGTTAGAATTGTGGTTACCATATGCATCTAAATTTACATATAGCTTATCTGAGAAATATTTTCTCTTTTATCTCATGCTTTGCTTAGCCACAATCAACAGACCAGGAGTGTGCACTCACAAGCTTTCCCACCATTACATCTTTCTTTGAGAACGCACTAGAGATTTCATTGCAAAACAGGTTTTAGGTATATGTGTCCTAGACAATAGTCAGCTGTTAAATGTTTAATAACTATTTCCTGAAACAAACAAACAAACATGTCTATGCATATTATAACTTCTACTGATATAAAGATTACGCAACACATAATTTACAAATATTAACAAAATATACAATACCCTTTATTACAGATTTTACATATCCAACTGAGGCTCACAAAATTCTTTTACATTTATGTACAGGTTAATGAGTAAGACAAAAGTAGAATAACAAAGACATATGCTCACATTTTACTCATTTATCAAGTACATCAGTGCTTCTTTGCTGAATTGAATCATACTTTTTGAATACTACAATCATATTATCTCTCTTGCTCTCCTCTTTTATTTATTCTTTTTGCTATTCACAATTCACGTGATAGAACCATTACTTTTGTAAATCTAAAGAATAAACAAAGCAATAACTCAAACTCTGATAGGTAGTACTTGCTCATTTCCACAGTGTAAATACTAGCATGGCTTATTTCAAGCAATCAAAATGTTATCACTGAATGTGAAGTTGAAAGACAAGTTCAGTAGTACATTACTATAAAGTAGTTTTTGCTATACAAATAAAATAGATATACATAATCTCAAAAATACAGATAATAAAATTTAATAAAATAATTAGGAAGTTTATGTCTTGAATAATTTGTACCTCCGTTTGTATATATAATTTAATTATTAAATTTATATAACTAAATTTTAGATAATCCTTATTAAAAAAAAACTGCTAGGTAGCCTTCTGAAATTTAAATGATTACCTTTGCTCCCTTATTCTTTTCCCACCAAACAAAAACAAGTCTTACAGAATTAATTGTCAGTGAAGATGCACATGCTTGTGCCTGATTCTCTCTCCTTCCTTCTTTTCTTTCCTTCCTTCCTTCCTTCGTCCCTCCGCCCTTCCCTCCCTCCCTTCCTCCCTTCCTTTCTTCCTCCCTTCCTTCCTTCCTTCCTTCCTTCATTCTTTCCCTTCCTTCTTTGCTTCCTTCCTTCCTTTTCTCCCTTCCTTCCTCCCTTCCTTCCTTATATCCTTCCTTTCTTCCTTTCCTCCCTCTCTCCCTTCCTTCTTTCCTTCCTTCTTTCCTTCCTTCCTTCCTTCTCTCCCTTCCTTCTTCGCTTCCTTCCTTCCTTATATTCTTCCTTCCTTTCTTCCTTCCCTCCCCCTCTCCCTTCCTTCTTCCCTTCTTCCCTTTCTTCCTTCCTTCCTCATATCCTTCCTTCCTTTCCTTTCCTCCCTCTCTTCCTTCCTTCTTTCCTTCCTTCCTTTATTCCTCCCTCCCTCCCTTCCTTCCTCCCTTTCTTTCTTCCTCCCTTCCTTTTTTCCTTCCTTCCCCTTCTCTGTTTCTTTCTTTTTTCTCTTTTTTTGTGTGCAATGAACTTCCCTATAGTATGCACATGATTCACCTCCCAATATTATGTATCAAGTAAATAAAATTTTTATTATGAGGCAGTTTGTTACTATAATGTTACAAACTTACAACTAGAACTTTTAAAAACTATACTGACTTCTGTTATTAACTACTTATCTCACTTTAGATTATACCAAATATTTCGTATGAATAATGAATTAATTCTGGCTGTGTAAAGGGCATCACTTCTTTTTAATATAAAGCTAACATTGCCTGATGATACATCAAAATAAATATTCACATGAATTAACTCAAATGAATTCTCAAGTCTCTCATTTAGTTAACCTGCTTTTAATTACCATGAAGTCAACTGAAGAGTGACCATAATCATATCTCTGAATAGAGCTTAGTTGAGCAATCCACTTTGGCTAAATGCATCCTGGAATTCTTGGTACCAATGTACAGGACATCAAATAACCTCAATTAGAGATCATTGTGAAGTGGAAGAGAAAAGAAAGGGAGATAAAAAGAAAAGGACATCTGCATTGACCAGCAACAGTGTTCCTAACAATGCAAGTTGCTTATTAATTTAAGGTTGGATAACAGAAAAGCCTAATATTAAAACGCATAACAGATCTTTGTATTAGAGGACATTATCTTCTAGAATTGTGTTAGATATAATGGTTTGTCAAAGTAGAAAGCCAAATGGGCAAAGTATAATATTATTTCACTTTCGTACTAGTATGTTGTATGAATTTATTTTTTTTTATTTTGGCATAAGGAAACTTATGAAACGCTAGACGCTTTGAATACTTCTGTATCAAACAAGTATGGTACTTACTTATTTTATCTCCAAAAGGAACACTGGGGTCTATCTCAGATTTAAATGTGCCAACTTGAGTTTTGCAAAAAAGATAAATTCATTTTAAGAGTATTGCAAACGTTCAGTCATACTGACTAAAGCATAATGGCCTCAATGAAGTGTTCAGAAGATTTGGAATTTTGTTTTGTGACTCCTTGCTTCAAATATAAGCAAACTGATAGACCAAACTCACAATATATCTGAAATAAATTATATGTCGAGCATATGTATTTGTGTATTTTCATATTAACACTTTTAAAGGAAAGCCTTGAGCATGGCTACATTTTGAATTATTTAAACTAATAATATGTTCTTTTCAATTTGTTACAACATGAGATAGCTTAAATAAGCTCAAAAAACATCTACATAGATTATCTGATTGTCTCAATACTTGTCCCTTTAAATCTTGTCTTCATTAAATATATGGCCTTTCTTCTGAGCATTGTCTTATCACTAGGAAGGTTTATTTGTCAAATATTCAAGATTATATGACCTTCTCCTGCAACCTTTTACATAAAGGGTCAACAAATTCTTTCCCTTTCATTTCATTTCAGTCAGTGCTGCTTTCTTTTTCAAAAAAATTTCCACTTTTGTAAGAGATAGAGCCAAATAAAAGATTATTTTTATACATTTATCTACTTAGGTAGAAAAGACACCTGAACATTAAGGATTAAGATACAACTTTTCTAGATATATTTCAGCTATCAAAAAAGTATCCAGAAACTAGTCAGCTAAATTTATTTAAATAGACATATTGATATTACATTCTTGGGCACTTGGCTTAAAAAAATCTATCAGGAATTTGAATTAAAAGAAATACTACTAATTTTACTTAAACTGCTATGCTTGTGAATATTACATGTCTGGATGATTTATTCTGTTTTGCATGAAGCCTTTAAAGACTATGGCTAATGTGTAGCAGAAAACAAAATGATATGGTATTTCTCATCTCAAAGCAAAGGAAAAGATGCACTTACAGAACGAATACCTCAGTTGGTTCTGTTAAGAAAATAGTATGTATTTTTTAAAGATAGACTGCTATTAGGGTCTGCTGTGTCAATAAAATACTCCTTGCTATATATTTACCCGGTGGCTTTTAGTGAATTCAGAGAGAATCTTAACATTATGCTCCATCAGGTCAATTACAGGGTTGGGGTAGGGTAAATGATACTACTATTTGCATCATAAACTGTCTTTCATCTTTTCTACTGCTTCAAACCTGCACCTGTGTGTAAAGCTGCAGAAAAAGAAGAGCAGTGAGAACCTATGTTTTAGAAATATTACAGTAAATTACAATGACAGGATGGGGTTAAAAACAGCAAGATTTTAGGTTATGAAATACATTACACTACCAGTTATCAATTTATGTTTGTTTCTGCTTAATTTCCCTTTACTAGGGATGTATGTAGAATATGTAATAAGAGATACAAAAACAGGTGCTCCAAACTGTGATAAAATTAAGTCATTGCAAAATAAACTGGGTCCAAAAAAGTTTCATCTCCAGGCAGATGAGCAGAATAAACCACTGAACCAACTGTAATGCATTTCTCAATCTGAGATGTGTTCTACAAGACAAAGCTTCTATTCCTGATAAGACACTGACAATCTGTTGCTCAAAATGTTTCAAACTCTAACAGCCTTTTTAAATACCAGATGTTTACTAAAACAGAGACTCCATATATACTCTGTGTAAAAAGGGTGCGTTCACACATAACAAATCTCATTCTTATTCATGGTTCATAATATTCTTAATTGTATCAACTTCAAAAAATATTACATTACTAAAAAAATCATTAATCCTTTTACAAAGTACTTCCATTACCTTTTGATATGTGTAAGTTAAATTTGTGTATTGTATATGTATATATGTATGCATATGTATGTATTTCAGATTACATATATATTTGTATATATTGTAAAAGTTAAGAATGTTGTAATTTTTCTAATGCATTAATTTTAAATGCATTAATAATAAAATTACTTCAAAAATAAAACTTTCTTTTATATATGTGTTAAAGTTTATATATATATAAACTGTACAGGAACTGTGTACAGTTTATATATATAAATATATATACAGTTTATATAAACATAAGTATAAACATATATACAGCATATATATATATATGTGTGTGTGTATATAGATATAAACTGTACACAGTTCTGGCCAAGATGAAAGAGTTTTTGGGATCTAACTTGTGATCTCATCATAAGTAACTAGAAAAGTGGATGAAAATCAATGGTTTTCATACATTGATAATAAGAGCACAGGTCTCTAATCCCTGACAAAAAGAAAATTTAAAAAGAGAGTGAGAGAGACAGAGAGAGAAATAAAGAGATAGAGAGAGAGCCGGGAGTTTCCCCTAGCTTCTGCTTGCAGGCATTTTCTGGAATGATGTAAAGCCCAACTAGAGATCCCATAACCAGTAGTAAAGAATGTTCAGACTAGCTAAAAGATGTACAATTGTAGACCATGAAAGAGATTTTTAAAAAGCATAACAAGTGAAAAGCAATGACCACACTAAGGCCTATTTTAATCTCATTGCAGAAAGTTAGTAATAAAGAAAAAAATTGAAATGTAGATAAAACATATAGATATAAATAAAACAGTTATAAAATGTACTACTGAATTATTTTCAAACATATGAAGATAATAGGCAATGAAACAGTAACTTTATATAAAGTTCTAAAAATAAAAATATGTAAACACACATCCACATCAAAATTTGTAGTTGAATATCCAGAGAAGATTTACTTTTAAGCTGTTAATCACAACAAACTGCAAATAACTCAAAATTCCATTCATCAGTAAATGAATAAATGAATTGTGGTATATCCATACAATGAGCTAATACTCTAATAAAAAGTAGTAAATTATTGCAACATGCCAACCCATAGATTTATCTCTAAAACAGTAAGATGTTCAAAAGGAAATGGGCACAAAAGTGTTCACACCATAATATTTCATTTCTATGAAAATCTAGAAAAGATGAAATTAGTTTACAGTGACAGATATAGCATCAGTGATAACCTTGGTCTGGGCATTAACAGCAAAGGGCAATAGAGAAACTTTCCGAGTGACGGAAACGGCCTGTATCTTCATGCCAGTTACATAGGAATGTGTATTTGTGGAAACTCATCAAACTCATGAATTTTACTTCAATAAATTCAAGTAAAAATCTGTAGTAAGAAAAGTGAACATTAAGAGCAAGTATTTTGGGGTCAAGTAACACAATGGAATGTTCCTAGTGCAAAAGTGGGGTCCTGGCTGGGAGCGGTGGCTTACTCCTGTAATCCCAGCACCTTGGGAGGCTGAGATGGGCAGATTGCTTGAGCTCAGGAGTTTGAGACCAGCCTGGGCAATATAATGAGATGCTGACTCTACACAAAATACAAAAGAAAAAAAAATCCAGGCATTGTGGCATGTGCCTATACTCCCAGCTACATGGGAGGCTGAGGCAGGAGGATGCCTGAGCCCAGGAGGCAGAGGTTGCAGTGAGCTGGGATGGTGCCACTGCATTCCAGCCTGGGCACAAGGTGAGACCTTGTCTCAAAAAAAAAATCCAAAAAACAAAAAAACAAGATAGCTACTGTAACTAATCTGTTGACTTTGCTGTTACTGATGAGAACTGGTGGCCTAGAAAATGCTATTTAATATTAATTTGATGTATTTTATTCCCATTTATTATTCATGCTATTAATCAAGAGTAAAGCTTGTTGAATTTGTAAGTAATTCTCATAACCTTACAAAAAACTAATTTATGATATTCTAATTTGAGTGATAAAGTCTTAACTATTGTCATTAATTATATGAGTATTCACATATTCTCTTGTTCTGAGTTTTTGTTGTTGTTGAACAAATCAATCCATTTCTGTTTAATTTTGTTTGGTCTGTTTGCTTCCTATGCTTTCCCAAGAAGTAGTACCTGCTAGCATTGCATCAGTTTCAATTCTTTTTCATCCACCCATTTAGCCTGCTTTAACTTGAGAACTTCAAAAACCTCCTGGCACTTAACAACTTTACCCAAATCCCTGCACTTACAGACCTGACCAAATTCTAGCATGGCTTCTAACAGCTTAAGGCCTTGACCCTAGGAGGCCAGCCTTCCTTAAAATGACTGTCTGAGAAAACTCAAGACTGTCAAAAGAATTTACTGTTTAATTCAGCCAACATTTCCCTTTCCTAGAGAATTTACTTAAAGGAAAGGTTAACATTGTAAATCTTTTTTTTTTTTTTTTTGAGAAGGAGTTTTGCTTGTCACCCAGGCTGAAGTGCATCGGTGCCATCTTGGCTCACTGCAACCTCTGCTTCCCGGGTTCAAGCGATTCTCCTGCCTCAGCCTCCCCAGTAGCTGTGACTACAGGCGGCTGCCACCATGCCTGGCTAGTATTTGTATTTTTAGTAGAGATGGGGTTTCACTATGTCGGCAAGCCTGGTATCGAACTCCCGACCTCATGTGATCCGCCCACCTTGGCCTCCCAAAGTGCTGGGATTATAGGCATGAGCCACCATGCCTGACCAAAATTATAAATCTTTTCTCTGTCCCTTGGAGTTATATAAGTATGTATCTCCTAATGCTCAGGAGTGTCTCTATCAATGGCCTGACCTGAAAGCCATTTTTTGAAATGTAATCATCATGAAGAATAAGGATTCTCTTTATTAGTATCAATGGAAAAACAGAATCCTAATTTTGAGGCTGGGTGTGGTGGCTCACACCTGTAATCCCCGAACTTTGGGAGGCTGAAGCGGGCAGATCACTTGAGGCTAGAAATTCGAGCCCAGTCTGAACAATGTGGTAAAATCCCGTCTGTACTAAAAAATGCAAAAATTAGCCAGGCATGGTGGCACACGCCTGTAGTCCCAGCTACTCGAGAGGCTGAGGCAGAAGAATTGCTTGAACCTGAGAAGTGGAGGTTGGAGTGAGCCAAGATCAGGCCACAGCACTCCAGCCTGGGTGACAGAGTGAGACTCCATCTCCCAGAAAAAAAAAATATATATATATATTTTGATAGTTGCCAGATGATCTACATAGCTGGCATAATCGCATTTACACTACCCAATTCTTTATAATTTTTCACTTCTCTGCCTCTGGCTCATTTCCTCTTGCTACTCCCTCATTATCTGCTTACAACGTCCCATAATCTCTGCACAAATCAGAATAGAGTTCTACTCTTTTTCCTACATTGTTATTCACTAGTAACTGAGTAAAATCTGGTGTCATCACTTTGGCTAATGTCCAGCTTTTTTTATCTTTGAAAAACTCAGATTGTTGATTCAACAATAAATTAAACATGCCAACAATTCATCAAAATGGACAAATAAGTCTAACATAAGTTCCAATTTTTTTCATTTCTAATCTTAAATTGTATCTAGCATGATGAATAATTTACTCAAATTAGTGAATAAAATCAAATAAATCATTTTTAATGAAGGTGATGACTTTCAAAATCCCCTTTTTTGACAATCCATTTTATTAAATAAATTGTTATTGAACATTAAAAAATTATGAGTTAACAGGAACAATATGTTTTTTTTCTAATTGTAAGCATTTAGAATATTTTTTGACATTAAACCATTCCTAATTCTCGAGCATCTAGTGAAGGCAAGCATGGCTGCAATTAATAGGGGAAAAGAAAATAAGTCAGGCACTTCTGATAATTACATAAATAGCAATGCATTGTCAATTATTTTGAAAGCACATTGTTTCAAATTACATTACTATTCTTTGAAATTGACTCATATATAAATAGTTTGCTTCATATTATTTAAGAAATATTAATTAAAAATAGAAATAGAATAAATGTAGCTGCATTTACAAATTTTGATAAATGATTACTCAGAAATTTTTAGATCTACTAAAAATTATCCAAATGTTTCAAAACAGAAATTACTAACTAGAATTTTCCTTTGTACTATTTTTATAATTCATTCTAAATCTCAGCACTGTCCTACATTTATTGGCTTTTAAATATCCTCATTTTTGCATATATGTTATTTAAAATAAGTTTAATAGAGTTAGTTTATTGATTTAGAGACTTTGCAGTAAATAGCAATCTAGATTTTTATTTTAAATCTAAGTGACAGCACCTTTCACATTCATGACTGAAGATGTGAATGGGTAGGTAGATAGATTGATATTGTGTATTATGGATACCAAGCAATTATTACCAGAGAAAAATAACGTGACTGTACTGATTAAAATAAAACATTTCTGCAAGATAGAAATTATAATTACTTTGCTGAACTTAAGCTGCACTTTATACTCTGAATAAATTAGGCCATTATTATTCTATGTTCAAATTCCTAAGGGTACCTTGCCTTTGGTTTGTACCTATTTAATTCAGATCAGTTATTAGTGAACACCTTTGGTTAATGTCATGATATTTCCATTATGCAATTCAAACTCTCCTGAAAGAAGGGTGTCAAGTTGCTACCCTTCAGCGAAGGTGCATTCCATTAAAGACTGAATTTAGAACTTCTTTAGAACATGTTTCAACAGCAGAAGGTATTAAGAAACACTGTATAAAGGTACAATTGATTCACAGAAACTCTTTCTTGCTAACATGTGCTATTTTTGTACATTTATCTCTTCCAATAAAGCCTTTCATAATTTTTCTTTTTTTCATTTCAATTGTCCTGTTCCAATCCATATTTTGCACTCTCTGATTCAGTATATTTACCTGCCACATTTTTATTATTTTTCCAATGTTAACCCCATAAAGAAAAGCTATTTCAGTTGACTGGAGCTCACAGTATTCATTATAGCCAATCAATTGTGTAAGTAGTGGTAATGAATAATCAGAATATTTGAAAAATTATCAAAATAGAAAAGAGTAATAAATATAAATGAGACAGGACTAATCATTTTATGAATATTACCAGTATAATATTGCTCTTGATTTCATAGGAAATGAAAATTACAAAACATTTATCAATTTGGTTTATCCAGAATACAAATGTCAGATAATTTGGAGTGTTCTTGTGGGTATAGAATATAGAAAATACGCAGCAAAAATAGTCTATATAAATTTTCAATAATAAATTTAAAGTGTTTGTAGGCGTAAGGATTTTTGGTCTCAAATGTTTCAGAAATCAGAGTTAGAAGCTTGCAAACATTGATGTGCTTGAGAGTTTATTTTTTCTTGGTTTACTAAACTTGTGTGCAAGAATCTCACTGAGAGCAAAAGTATTATTATTCATTAGTTCATTTTGTTGACCTTGAGATGTCATCATCATGTGTACAGAGAGCAATATTGTAGGCTAATAAAAAAAGGTAAAGTAAGTATAATGTATAAGTAAGAAGAAATGCTAGGAAAAATGTTCTTTTCTGGAGGGTGAGGGAAAAGATTAGATTATAGTTTGCAGAATCAAGGCACATAGGAATGACATGCAATGATCATGATTTATGAATGTATTTTGAAAGGTAGAAAATCAATAGATATTTTAAAAGTTCTGTTTTGTTCAGTTTAATTTGAACTGCTCTCTCTCCTCTTACATCACATTGGCTTAAATATGCTAGTGATTAAAAATACACATACACACATATACATAATATTAGCACCATTTTTCTAATTAAGTAGTTATGCATGCATTTAACATCCAGGATTAAATATTTTTTAAAAATTTCTAGATTCTTACATGTAGAGTTTTGAAATTTGGATACATTAATGGAATGTTTGGTTCAGGAAATTTATTTAAGAGTTTAAATGATGAATCATTGGTTTACCTAAGAAATTTACTAGATTGCTAGGCAGAATACCTCCTTAATTCCCACTTTTTATGTCTACTTAAGCCTGTAATTTTGTTTAGAATTTGGCAAAAAAAAAATTAGTGATATAATTAGTTGCTCATAAATTATCTATCAACCCCAAATGCATAACCAGGGGTGCTCAGAGTTTTTATGATAATTATACTCATTTTGATCATACATCAAAATATACATTCATTTTGATCAAGTAAAACTAAAAAGGAGTGAGGCAGGTGGTGAACACCATGCGCATTTATGCCCAGTCGTGTTTGCTGAGGACACAGGATAAGATACTACATGATCTTTTAAATTTTTTTTATTCTAAATTTTCAATTCCACTGTAAGAAATGAAATAAGGTTGTTTTGACTTTGGTAATTTTTGTGGTATAAAAAAGGAAGTCAGTTATTGGGAGTTAAATATATTGAAGCATATATTTTATGTAAGAAAAGAAAAATGCTGCTAAAAATCTCTAGTCTCAAATGTAAATGAATAAAGCAAATGATTGAATAATTGATCAATAGATAGAGTGGACAAGAAATGTGATAGGATGTTTTCAGTTTGAGCTTTAGGCAATAGTTTCCATTGTAATCCATTGAATTTTGCAGTTGTGATCCACATCATTTGAGTTGTTGACATTATTGAACTTATCCAAACAAAATATATGACATAAATTATAATGTTTTCCTAAATTGTATCAATATGGCAAAAAAGCTAAGCAGATTATATGACTGTGTTTGTATGTTGTGTGATAGTATGAGTACTAAAATTGTATCTTTTGTAAAATTTGTTTAGAACTTATGATTTATTTTTCATTATCTCTTTGAAGGTACTTTTATTATTAAATCAAGCATGTCATATATGTTAGTGAGCTGTAATTGTAATACTGCTTAGCCATCATAGTATAGGTTTCAAATTGAGTCTGCAAAGCTTATTGGCATGATGAGTTTAACATTATTTTAACTCTCAGAATCTATACATTTATAGGCTGAATGTAACTTTTTATATTTCCAAACTGACAAGAATATTTAGTTTTCTAAAGTAACTATTTTTCATATTTTCTCATAAATACAAAAGCATATTTTTATATTTATCAAAAATGCTTTTTATTTGACAATACAAAATCCATGTAAAAATGATTACTTAACAAGATAGAAATTATCTGTTAATAACCTATTTTTATAATTAAGAAACTTTTATTTCTTCTATTAAGCATGCAAAAAAGGCCAGGTGTGGTGGCTCATGCCTGTAATCCCAGTACTTTGAAAATTCAAGGCAGAAAAATCACTTGAGCCCAGGAGTTTGAAACCAGCCTGGTCAACATAGCCAGACCTTATTTAAAAAAATTAGCTGGGCGTAGTAACATGCACCTGTAGTCCTAGATACTTGAAAGGCTGAGGTGGGAGGATCCCTTGAGCCCAAGAGTTCAAGACTTCAGTGAGCTATGATTGTGCCACTGCACTATAATGACTAGGAGACAGAGTAAGACTCAGCCTCTAAAAAACTTGCTATGATTAATTTTCTCATTAGAAACATACTTTTATAGTCTATAATGTAGATAGAAAAATAGATGTAGATATGTAGATATAAATATAAATATATAGATAGCCAATGAGATACACATTAAAGAAATTACTAACATTGGCTCAAATATAAAGAAGGCTTAAAATTTAAATAAATGTGAAGTGCTGTTAAAGTGAATATACTTGTACGCATAAAAAGCAATAAACTAGGAAAAAAAGTCTTGTTATATTTTTCCTTCTCTCCCACAATGTATGAAGCCAATAATGTATTATTTAGTTGAACAGACATAAAAAATAATTGTTTCTGAAGTAATAGAATAAAAGTAGTGATGAAGTAAACCATGTCATTCATTTTGCAAGATAAAAATGGCATCATGTAGTTTATAAAATGCCATATGTCACATAATATATCAGTATTTTATGCTTCATAAATAAATTTAAATATCTTAGTTATATTTCCATTAGTAATGAATTTTCATGAAAGTATCTTGAAATCTCTTTTCTTGTGTATTTTATCCTCCATGCATCCATATCCAATCACGCCAATAAGTTATATCAGTTGGATCTGATCATTCAGATGTCTTTACTTCTGAAACAGAAAAAAAGCTTTAACTCAAACTTATAAAGTTATTTCTCTGTACATTTCCAAATGTCAGTCATCCCTTTAGCAAAAACGAACACTTGAAGTATTAGCAACTATGAAATTTAGTTCAATAGATGACGATCAGGATTGTCAAGCAGAACACTTTCTAAAATGGGAGAAGGAATTTAAAAAAAAAAAGAGGGTCACTAGAAAAGGGAAGGTTAAAAAGAAAAAATTGAGATAGAAATTGTTGCGTGTGCAGTCTGTAAATCCAATCTACTACAGAATCTATTAATGCCAATGTTATTCTTCATATGGGGCAGATGGTGAGTACAGGCTCTAAACTTATGCAAATCAGTAAACTCATGAAAATTTCTGGATGTGTCTTTTTTTTCTTTCTAATTCAGTATTCATTAGATTTTATTCTACTGTCTTCTGATGTGGAACATTCCAAATCATTTGTTAGCAATGAGAGTTATAACGTCCAATGAATTCTTTTTCTTTTGGTGTTAAATGTTTTTTCTTTCTGAACGTTTTTATGATTTCTTGCTTCTTTTTAGAGTTCAAGATTTTTTTACCAGTATTTCTGCTCAGTCATACTGAAATGGAATAAGCCTTTAAATCTGCTAACTAAAACTCTTTTGTTAAATAAAATTACTTCTACCATTTTAATAAATGTTCTATAAAATTATTTGCTTTCAACCAGATATTTTTATACTTCTGGATGTTCATTTGAATTTTAGGTTTTCCTGCATTGCTCTTCAATTCTCTCATCCTTTCCTTCATTATTTTTATTTACTTATATTTTGTAATATTTATTCTATTTGATTTTACAGAATACTAACATGGTCTTAACAGTAACTTCTATTGGTGCAATTACATACATATATATTACACTTTAAATATATGTTCTTTATTGCATAAATATTTTTCCTAAGGTTATAATTGAAATGTTCACCTCCTCCTCCACTTCTGTCTCTTTTTTCTCATTTCATTGTACAGATTGCTACCTGTCTCTTCCAAAGTTTGTTCCACTAGCAACAAGTTTTCTGCTGTTTGTTAGGTGACCTGTTAGTGTGCCTGTTAGGTGACCTTAGGCTTACTGCTATTTACTTTTTCAATATTCATGAGCCAATTTATGCTTGATGCTCAGGTACAGCTTCTGGTGTTCAAGTAGCAGAAATTTCTGTTCCATCAAGATAGCAATGAGTTCATTTGTGTATTGTTTATTACCAAGGAATATCTACTTTCCACTTTATCAACTGCCAGGTTTAGACCTCTGTTCCACCTCTCTCTATTGGGTTCCCAGAAAAACCCAAGGCCAAGCTCACACCAATCAGGTATCACTTGCCTGCAAACAGCTGCATCTGTTGGGCCAGGAGTGGTGGCTCACGCCTGTAATCCCAGCACTTTGGGAGGCTGAGGCAGGTGGATCACAAGGTCAGAAGATGGAGACCATCCAGGCTAACATGGCGAAACCCCATCTCTACTAAAAATACGAAAAAATTAGCCAGGTGTGGTGGCGGGCACCCGTAGTCCCAAGCTACTTGGGAGGCTGAGGCAGGAGAATGGTGTGAACCCAGGAGGCGGAGCTTGCAGTGAGCCCAAATCACACCACTGCACTCCAGCCTGGGCAACAGAGCAAGACTCCACCTCAGAAAAAAAAAAAAAAAAAAAAGAAAAAGAAAAAAACTGCATCTGTTGGAATTCAGATGTAACAAGAAGTATGTATTCAAATAGGTGAAAGCAGCTTTCTGACAGTACCATTTTAGAACCAAGGATCTTTAGAGCACACTTTGAAAAGCAGTGTCCTCAGAAATCTAGATACACAAGATGCTGGCACCAACTCAGGAAAGGAAATGATCTGTTAAAGGGAAGGGAAACAAAACCAAGCTAAAAAATTATAAGAGCAAAAATCAAAGTTGAAAGCTGCTGACACATTTCACCATCACTGTTGAATGCTTGGTACACAGTGGCTGATTAATGCTGGGTAATTTATAATAAATTGCAAATACAAATACTGATTGCAGGCATATTTTAGTCTTTTAGTCTCTATTTTAGTCATTTATTGTCCTTTAGTAGATTCCTCTATAAAATGTGTAATTCCTAGAGTTTACATTTTATTTAAATATATAAACTTTTCTTGACTTTACCAGTCATCTTAAAGAAAAATATTTTCACAATCATTTTATTCTGTAAGAACAACAAAGAAAATTTAATCCATAAAGAGACTTGGTTTTCAAAACTACGATGCAAAGCAAAGATAAAATGCACTATATTAGCTCTAAATTTGCCTTTTCACATACATCATTTTTCAATGTGATTTCATTATTGATTAGCTTACCAGAAAAACATGTCCATCATACACTCTAGAGCTTTTCAAAGAACAGTGTTGGTTCACTTTTCATTCACCTATTAGTGACCTAACAAGCAAAGAGTAAAACCTAAGGTATTTATGTATACAAATCAAACATCTCTTTAATTTAGTGCAAAGATATCTTTTCAAGGTCTGAAAAATCTACCTATCTGAACTAGTATATGCATTCAGCTTACTAATAACCTATTTGATGACAAAAATGGTGTGAAATATTTCATTTTCCTATTTAATGATATTGGAATAATAATGTTATATTTGTATGGATAAATTTCAGTCAGTGAATCAACATATTTTCACAAGAAATTTTTCTAAAAATATCTTTTGAACTAAATTTGCCCTATTTGATGAAAAATGTATTGAATGTCTACATTCCCTTAAATAGACCTTTTTTGAATAATTCAGTAACACTAAAAAGTCAAAGCAAATAAACTGATGAGGATTCAGAGCAACTGCTTTGTCAGGTTGTCTTGAGTGTTCAGATATAGTGTAGTCCTTTCTGTTCTTAGTACTAAATATATGTTCATTGTTTTTATTAGTTTAATAATATAACATTGAATGTATTCTTGACTGCATGCTGTTATAAACCATGTAATATGCATATCTTTCTAAACATGACAAATGTTAACAAATTACATCTTTTTTGTCCTTTTATTAAAAAGTCAGGTTTATTAAAATATAATTTATATACAATTAATCTTATTCTTTCAACATACTCAGTTCAGTAAGTTTTGACAAAGGTATATAATCATGTAATTGCCACCACAATCAAGAAACATTTTCACAAATTAAGAATGCTCTCAAGTCCACCAAAGTCCAAAGCGATTTAATCACCTTACAAAGTTTTTTCCTGCTCCTTTGCAACAAATTCCGTATCTCTATCTCTGGCCCTTGGCAACCTCTGATCTGTTTTCTGTCCCCATGATTTTGCATTTTCTGTCATTTTAAGTACAGGGGATAATGTAGTGTGTAATCTTATGTGTCTGGCTTCTCTCACTCAATGCTTTGGTGATCCTTGTTATGACATGTATTAGTGATTCATTTCCTTTAATTGCTGAGTAATACAATAGGTATTTGAATGTCCTTGTCTGCTAATTTCATCATCTCTGTGATTCCCAAATCTCTTTTTACTTACTGATTTTTTTTTCTTCCTGGAAATGGGTCACATATTCCTTCTTTTGTTGCCTGATTACCCCATATTTCTACTTCTAAGCAATTTTTAGACCAAGGAAGTGGGATGCAAAGAGAACCTGATGGTCTCTCAGTGAGTAGAGGAGACAAATGCTAAGATGGTGGGAACTTACAGGACAGAGTAATAAGAGGAAGGAACTACAAAGAGAAAAATCTCCATTCATTTGTGGACCTTTGGAGTCTTTGGCCAAATACTAAGTTGTTCACTCCGAGGGTAGAATAGGCAGGTGAAGAACAATTTTCAGGAAAAGAAAATATTCTGGAGAGCTATAAGCCAAAAAATTCCAAGGGCTCACACAAGGCTTGGACTCATCCAAGGCTTCACAAGCCAGAATGGAGAGACCTTGCCGAATACATGGAGCTTAAAGTAGAGACCCTAAACAACAGTAATGTAATGGGGGAGCTAAATTAGCCCTAGTGTAAAGACTACAACATACATGTCCTTAAAAAGGCTTTAAAACTGGCCTTGAAAGAATGAAACGGCTGTGCCAGAACTGTAATTCCCTTCAGAGCAAAAGGCCAATAGTGTCTATCTAAGTAAATACAATGCATTGTACATATGGACAACATTTACGATGTCTAAGATCCAATCGGAAACAAATTACATCTTATAGACTGTTAAATAGTTCATCATTAGGAAAAAATGCACCTTCTACATTTACCACGCATGAAAAAAAGCAAGCATGCAAAACGGCATCAAAATCAATTTCACATAATATTAAATCTTAAAATATGGGTCATAAATTCAATGATGTAAAAATAAGTTATCCACAACAGGCATTGTATTTTAACTTTTTTCTCAAAAAATTAAATAAAGGCTGGATATAGTGGCTCTCATCTTTAATTTAATCTCAGCAATTTGAGAGACAGAGGCGGGAGAATCACTTGAGCCCAGAAGTTTGGGAACAGCCTGGGCACAAAGTGAGACCCAATCTCTAAAGAAAATATAAAAATTAGCTGGGCAAGGTAATGTGTGCCTTTAGTTCCAGTTACTCTGGAGGCTGAGGTGGAAGAATCACTTGAACCCAGAAGTTCCAGGTGACAGTGAGCCGAGACTGTGCCACTGCACTCCAGCCTCGGTGACAGTGTGAGTCCCTGTCTCAAAAAAAAAAAAAAAAAGAAAAGAAAAGAAAAGAAAAACTAACTAAAATTGTTTTGTTTCCAAGTTAAAACCAATGAAACACATAATTTAATTGATGATGCTAAATATATTGTGCTTTTAGGACAGCATAATTGATATCTACTATAATTATAGTAAGTAAAATCAAAGTGCAGAATTTGGCATCATTTTGAGCTGATACCAGCTATCTTGTCAATATTGCCATTTTGATATATCCTGATGGTACATTTATCTTATTACTTATTTTTATTAGCAATATTAATAATTGACTGGTCAGTTACAATAATAATTTAGTGCTGATAAAGGTCATCATAAGAAACGATGCTATTTAAATAACTAAGGTAATATATTTTTTAAATGTTTTTCACATGCTTAAAGGACATGTAAGTTTAGTGAGTAAAACTTGACAAAAGAAAAATCTCACAAAATGAAATACAATTTCAACATATTTGAAACAAGGTAGTTTACAAGCAAAAAAGTTCTACCTTTGGATAAGGAGGATAAGTTAGGTACAATTCAGCTAGCGGATATGAGGCACCAAATAATAATAGAATTGTCATTGATTGGGGTATGAATGAATTGCAAGATAGTCTCAGCCACCATATAATTTAATCAAATGTGATCCATTATAGTACATATTTTACAGTGCAACTTAAAAACCATTGAGAGGAAATATGGTTTTCAATAATGTAGCAAGTGAAAATATGTTTTGAATTGAGGTATATAAGCAGAACAAAATATCACTTTTATGGATGAACTGATAAGTTCGAAATTAAGATTTTAAGTATGAATTTGTGGGGTGATCATATTAAAGAAATTGAGGGATTCTACATTCTTGACCTTCACTATTTATTGAGGTACTGCTACAAATAATGTAAGGAATGAAAGCACAGTATGGGCTCTAACAAAGCTGAGAGCCTGTGAATAGAAAAACAGATAATCAATAGGAAAGTGACCTATGCAAGTTATAGCTAGTTTTTAAATGAAACTGTAGAGTCAGAATATCCTCCCAAATTGAGTAACTTAATTTTAGTGATTAATTTTAATTTGTAATTAAATTAAGTAATTAATTACTTAATTTTGTATTAGAGATTGCCAAATGAAGAACGGAGTTTTGTTCCAGGCTGTGTGCAGAACACAACTATCTAGGAACTATTTAACTCATAACTTGCAATTCAAGAATTTGCAAAAAAAAAAAAGAAAATCTCGGTGAAGAAACTGTAGTGTATGTCTTTGTAGGTCAAGCTGATGAACACACACACGTAGCATTGATACTTGTTGGACTTAGCTGATTTGAAATGAGGACATGTCTAAATAAACTTTGGTTTCTGAGGTATTTGAGAAATGTATATCTAACAGAGAACTTATCCATGATATGTAACAAATACCTATAACTGTGTGTTGAGAACAGAAAATATATTTTTAAAAGGGCAAATGATTTAAAGAGAAACGTCATAGAAAAGTTATACATCTGACCACAAAACACATGAAAAAAGACTCAACATCAGTGAAATATCAGTTAAAATTAAAATAAGATACCACTAGACCTTACGTGAATAGCAAACACAAAACAAAAACAGACTCAAAACACCAAGTGTTGTAGTTGAGGTGCAGGAACCAGAACACTCATACATTGTTGATGGGAGTATTAAATGTTAGAACCACTTTGAAACTAATTCTGGCAGTTAAAAAACTAGTGTACTTTCTTACCCTTTCAGATACAAACTTTCTTTTTATTGCTGCCTTTCAGCAATTCAATCATGATGCATCTTGGCATGCTTTTATGTTGTTTTTTTCCTGCTGGAATAAATACACCCATCAAGTGCCTTTTATCTGTAGGTATGCCATTTTTATCAAATTTAGAAAATACCCAGGCATTTTTGCCCTCAAATATATATTTTTCTATTCTTACCTTTCTTTCCCTTCCTCTGTGCAGATTAGTTAGTATTTCCCATATGTTGCTGAGGTTGAGTTTACTTTTTCAGTTCTCTTTCTATTTTTATTTTCTATGATTCACCACAAGTGGTTTCAACTACTAGGTTTTCATATTTGCTCATATTTATTCTGCAGGGCCTAATACACTGTTAATCCTCTCTAGGAAATTGCTCTGGCTAGGAATTCAAGTACTGCGTTTAATAGAGGTGGCCAGGTGAGCATCCTTGCCTTGGTGAAAAAGCTTTCAGTTTTTCACCACTGAGTATGATGTTATACATGAACTTCATTATGTTGAGGTAACTTCCTTCTATACCTAAATTGTTGAAAGTCTTTTTTTTTTTATCATATATTGAATTTTGTCAAATGCTTTTTCTAAGTCTGTTAAGTTGATCATGTGGCTATATCCTTCATTTTGTTAATGTCATGTACCACATTAATTGCTTTTCCATGTTGAACGACTCTTTCATCCCAGGAATAAATCCGACTTAATCATAGTGTTTGATCCTTCCAATGCGCTGTTGAATTCAGTTTGCTAGCATTTTGCTGAAGATTTTTGCATCTATTTTCATCAGGGATTGTAGCCTATAGTTTTATTTTCTTGTGGTGTCTATATCTGGCTTTGCTATCTAAGTAATGTAATCTTCCCAACCTATGGTATTTTGTTATGGAAGTCCTAGAAAACGAATTAACTAAAAATACTGATAACTTGGTAATCCCTCCTGTTAATTTATATGATGCTGTCAGTTGATGATTATGAGTGCAGGTTTTGCACAGAAAAAAATAAATTGATCACATATCTATAAATTTCTATTTTTATTTAATAATTAAATTTATTTACTTTTGATGCTATTATAAATGGTCTTTGTAAGTTTTTTTAGGAATTTCTATATAAATATATTGTTTCTAAATAAGGAAAGTCTTACTCCTTTTTTTGAATCTATATGTCCTTTACTTTTTTTCTTACCTTCTTGAATTGGCTAGAAATTCCAATGCAATATTAAGTAAAAGTTGTCAGAGCAAATATCATTGCCTTGATCTTCTTAAATATAATGTATTCATTCTTTCACCATTTAGTACAATGCTAGCTTTATGTTCTTTCTGAATATCTTTTATCAATTTAAGGGATTTACCTTATAGCCCTTATTTGTTGAGAGTTATTAACCATGAACAGGTATGTTAATTTGTGATATTCTTTCATTCAATCTACAGAGATTATTATGTACATGCCTCCTTCCTTTTATTCCACTAACATGGTATATAGTACATTAATTGATTTTTGTATTATATTTTTGTATTCATGAGACAAACCTCTCTTAGACGTGGTTTGTTATGTTATATATTTATTAGTGGACTCACTTTGGCAATTCATTTTCAGGATTTTAATTCCTATGTCGAGGGTCAGTATTACTCTGTAATTGTCTTTCCTTGTTATGACTTTGGCTATGATATCAAAATAATGTTGACCTCATGAAATAAAGTGTTCCTTTCTCAATTTTCTGAAAGTGTTTGTGTGGAATTGGCATTATTATTTTTCTATATATTTAGTAGAATTCATCAGACATTAAGGCTAAAATTTTTCTTTGTGGAATTTTTTTTATTTACCAATTTAATTTCTTTGCTTAATATAGTTTTATTCAAAAATTCTAATTCTTCTTGTTTCAGTTTTGGTAAATTTTTTTTTTTTTTTTTTTTTTTTTTGAGACGGAGTCTTGCTTTGTCGCCCGGCTGGAGTGCAGTGGCGCGATCTTGGCTCACTGTAAACTCCACCTCCCACGTTCACGCCATTCTCCTGCCTTAGCCCCCGAGTAGCTGGGACTACAGGCGTCCACCACCACACCTGTCTAATTTTTTTTTTTTTTTTTTTTTTTTGCATTTTTAGTAGAGACAAGGTTTCGCTGTGTTAGCCGGGATGGTCTCGATTTCCTGACCTCGTGATCCTCCCGCCTCAACCTCCCAAAGTGCTGGGATTACAGGTGTGAGCCATCGCACCAGGCCGGTAAATTGTTTTTTTAAGAATGTATTCATACCTTCTAAGCAGACAAATGTGTTAACAAAAATTGTTCAATATAATTCTTAATTATGTTTAATATCTTATAAGGTTTGTAGCAATATTCCTATCTCCTTCCTGATATTGCTAATTTTTGCTTTCCTTTTTATTCTTTATCAGTCTATCTAAAATTCAGTTTTACTGATCTTAGCAAATATATAATTTTTGTTCAATTAATTTTTCTCTGTTGTTTTTCTATTTAATTGATTTTTGCTTTGATCTGAATTATTTTCTTCATTAGATACATTTTTGTTTTATTTATTTTTCTTTTTCTGGATTTCTAAGGTGAAAGTTGACATCATTAATTATAGACTTTTCCATTATTGACCATGAAGCTATAAATAGCGTTAAATCACTGTTCTATCTGTGTCCTACCTATTTTCATTATATTGTGTTTCTATTTTATTTCAGTTACATATATATTGCTAATTTTTATTCTTTTTTGCTCTTTATCAGACATTCAAAATTCTATTTCACTGATCTTAGCAAGTACTGATCTTAGCAAGTAAACATTATATACAGACACACACACACACACACACATATATATATGTATTTCTTTAAATTTCCCTTTGGATTTCTTATTTGACACATTGAGTATTTAGAAATCTGTTCTTTATCATCCTCATATTTTTCTCCTCTCTATTCTAGATATAGATTTTTTTTCTTCTCCCTATTCTGGACATAGAATTTCTAATTTAAATACATTAAGTAGGATAAAATGATGTAAATTATCTCAATTTTTAAAAATTTATTGAGTTTTGTTTTATGGACCAAAACATGGTTAGTGAGTGGTTGAAAGGAATGTGAATCCTATATTCATTCAGTGGAATTCTCTATTGATATTAATTAGATTACTTTTCTATATAGTGTTGCTCTGGCCTTATTTATCCTTGTTGATATTCTTTCTAATTGTTTCAATTACTGAGAAGTAAGTATTAAAATATCCAAATATATATGATAATTTGTCTAGTCTATAAATTGTTAATTTTTGCATTTTTATTTTGAAATTGTTTTTACTCATGCATAATTATTTCTAATTGTTATACCTACCTACCTAATATATTCATCTTTTCATTACTATAAAATATATTTTTATCTAAAACAGAACTATGTATCTTAGTCTAATTAGTTTATTATTATTACAGCCATTACATTAATTTTTCTTACTGTTTATGTCACATATTTTTCCAAATTCATGCATCCATTATATTTGTGTTTTTAAATTTAAAGTCTATTTTTTATAGAAAGAATATTTTCAGTTCTTGCATTTTTATCTACGCTGACAGTCTCTGCCTTTTATGGAAGTGTTTAGTCCATTCAATTTCAATATAATTATTGATATAGTTGAGTTTAGTCTGCTATTTTGCTATTTGATTATTCATTCACCTTTTTGATTTTTTGTTCCTCCCTTGACACCTTCATTTATTAAAACAAATCATTTTCCTATCCTGTAAGGTCATGTATTAAATTTTATGTATGTATATAGTGGCTCTTTAAAGGAATGCCATATGTATGTCTTTAACTCATAACAATCTATATTAATAGTGACTTAATTTTATAATATGTAATAATTTTGCACATATATATTTCTATCCTCCATTCATGTGTTTATGTTTATCACAGAGTATATCTATATAAGTTATAAACCATGAAATTTAGTGTTACAATTTTACCTTTAATGATCACATATATTTTTATTTTGCATTTAACCAATAATTATCGTTTCTGGTGCACTTGTTTTCTTCCTGTGCATCTGAGTGATGATGTAGTGTTATTTTAATTCAGTGTAAAGAAGTTCTTTTGGCATTTCCTGTAATAAAGTTCAACTACAAACATTTTCTTATTTTTTTAAATATGGAAATATATTATCTTCTTATGTGAAGAATATTTTCACTGGATACAGAATTCTTGATTGAAAGATGACCTCTTCACACCTCTCAGCAATTCAAATACATACATTTTAATACTTCTGACTTTTGTTGTTTTAGACAATAAATTAGCCACTAATTCTATTTTCCACAAACATAAACATTTACCCTTGTTGCTTCAAGGTTTCCTTTTATTTTCAGCTTTCAGAATTTATATAAGGATATATGTAAATGTGGTTTTCTAAATGATTAACCTATTAATGTTTATTGAGCTCCTTCAATCAGTAAGTTAATATTTTTCAACTAATTTGTGAAGTTTTTGTCATCATTTCTTCAAATATATTTGCAGTCCTTTTTATTCTACTTCTAGGACTCTCATGATGCATTTCTTTGAAATGTTTGTTATTTTCCAGCAGATGTCTGAGGCTCTGTTGTTATGATTAGTTTTTTTCTGTGTTATTTGAAATGAAATGATTAAACTCTTTTGAAGTTTATTGATTTTTTTTTTGTGTCCGCCCTTTCAAATCTACTACTGAACCATTTTGGTAAGCTTTTAATTTATGCAAAATTACTTTTTAGATACAAAATTGCCATTTATTTTTTATAGTTTGCATCTTTTTTGTATTGATTTTTTCTTTTTCTTTAGTCACTATTAATCCGTTTTCCTTTAACATATTTACAGTAGTTGCTCTGTAGTCTTTATCTGTGAAAACCAAATATCTAGACCTGCTTGAAGTCAGCTTACTTTACAGTCTTTTCATCTCTAAGCATAAATAAAACTTTGGGTTTTTTTTGGCCTACCAATATTTGTTTGAAAACTAGAGATTTTCAACAATACATTGTAGCAAAATTATTGTTGTTATAAGCAAAAGGAACAGTTTTTATTCCTAGACACTTCTCAAGTTATTGCTTTCGTTGATTATTTTCCATTGTCCTAAAGTAATTGTTTCTGATCATTTTCTAGTTGTATATTTGTTTCTACAAAGGGTAATTACCCAAACTCTTTATGGTATGATTACTGGAAATAAATCACCTTTATTTTGAGGCTGAGAATATTATATTAATAATTTTCTGATTCAAGTTTTGTGTTACATCCTAGAGACCTGCAACTAAGTTGTGATGTGTAGTGATCTCCATGTGTAATGAATAGCAAAATCATATTTCTAGGTCTATTGTTCTTAATCATGAGTGTATATATTAGCTGGAAAATATTTTTTAATGTCTACGATATTTGGGTCTTACACCAGGATATTATTATTTTACTTTTTGGTGTGCTTCCCAGGTGATTACAATGTGCTGTAATAATTGGTAATAAAAACAATTCATGCGTCTAATATTGATGATAATTACTTTTGAAGCTATTTACCAAAGCAATGGTTTTAGACCTGGCACTTTTGATACTTATTTTTTTACAACATAATGCTTCATTAAACAGTATAAATGCTTTTCTTAAATTCTGAATATCAATGTAACTTACGTTTGTCAAAGGAAATGTAGAACACTCTCAAAAATATAAAAATGTAAGTTTCTATAAGTCCATTATCTCCTAATTATTATCACTGCTCTGATTTTTTATTTTGTACATGCATTATTCTCCATATATATATGTAGAGAGAGAGAGAGAGAGAGAATCATAGCCTATCTATATAGATAAATGGGCTATGATTATAGAGTAGTACATATAGTAATTCATAAATCAGAAAATGCAATGGATCTGAGATTTCACCATGCTTACCTAGCACAGTATATCTATAAACAGCAACAACTCTGTATCAGAAAATAGACCTTTTATTATTCAAAACAGAGGCTAGACTAGCATCTTATGTTGCTTCCCCATATCCCAATTCTCCACAGAATTATGTGATGAGGCCAGATTTTCATCTGCACAAGAACCACAAAATTATGAGACTGGAGTTTATCTAGGGTGAATGACATATTTGCTTCTCCTTTCATCTGAGTAAAGAAAGCTTCTACAAGCTTAAAATTTCACTAAATGGTTTTGAGGTAGGAGATCATTGGCCAGACTTGTTTTCCAAGCACCAGTCATGACCCGTGTTGCCTCCCCACTGCTTGGAGCAGGATCTGGTCAATATATGGTCCATTGAAGAAGCCGGGCAAAACCAGTAGATGGCAAGGAAAGAATTCTCTAGTTGCCCTCCCTGGTCATTAACATAAAGACACTCCTACTGCCACCATTACAGTTTGGAAATGTCATGGCAGTACTCCATGTGAATGACCCAAAAGTTACTTTATATGTTTTTGAAAACTCACCAGCACTTTATAGAAAGTTATTATTTGCATGTAATTAAAAATGAGTGTAAATATAGCTGCTCAGCAGCCCATATGCTACTCGTGTGGCCACACAGCCTATGGGTTAACCCTGCTCAACAAGAAGCAGTACCTCTGCATACACTATCACTTCAATAAAGTTGATTTCTTTCACCACCAGTTTTCTCTTAAATTTTTTCCTAGACAAAGTCAAGAACCCTTCCGGGCTATGCCCCATTCTGGGGCTCACCTTCTCTGCATCAGTTTTGAAGGAGAGAGGAAAGAGGAAACGCACTTCTCTATTTTTAGTAGCACTTGTCAATACTTTTTGCTCATAAAGCCTGGACCATGCAGAAATATTAAGAAATCTAGGGAAAATTGTTTCACCAACAGTATTTATTTTTCAAAATTGCTTCAGTGTGGTACAAAACTATTCAAATAAAGACAACTTTTCATTTAAATACTTGCACTTTGAATATATATACCCTTTTATTTAAAAATCTTCATTTTTTGGTGTCTTAGATTTTAAAATTTGTTTTAGTTTCAGGAGAAAAGACTAGATGAAACATCTTTGTAAATAAAACTCAGTAAACTTTGACTGTTTAGGTTCAGTGCTAGAAGTAGAAGTACCTGACCAAAGTTAATTAACTCTTCATAGACTATTGACTTATAGAAAAGTTATAACTAGTTCAGGCTGGGCATGGTGGCTCATGGCTATACTCTCAGCACTCTGGGAGGTTGAGGTGGGTGGATTGCTTGAGCCCAGGAGTTCAAGATCACCCTGGGCAACATGGTGAAACCCCATCTCTACAAAAGAAAGAAAAAAAGAAACCCACAAAAATTAGCTAGATGTAGAAGCGAATGCCTGTAGTCTCAGCTACTCAAGAGTCTGAGGTGAGAAAATCACCTGAGCCTGAGACATTGAGGCTGCAGTAATCTGTGACTGCACCAGTACACTCCAGCCAGGGTAGCAGAGTGAGACTCTGTCTCAGAAAAAAAATATAAGGAAATACTCAGATATGCACATATTGTTTTTATTGCTAGATTAATTCTATGTGCTGACCTCAAAACTTTAGAGACTTTTTTGTAATAGCTCATTATATTAGTTTAACTAATCAAATCACTGTACATGTATAACACCATATATTTAAGACAGAAAAAAACACCACATTAGTTTAACATTTCTCACAGAATATTATGGTAGACAAACATTTAAGTATGCTATGGGTATTGAGATTTTTCTCCATTACCAAACATACAATCAAGTGGGAAAAACAGATAAGTAAAAGAGATGTATCATATCTAAACATTTAATAAGGGAGAGAAGTAAAGAGAGTGAATACGAAGGCCACGGAATAGAGGCATAAATAAGAGGAATTTTTTCCTGGAGGGCATACTGGGAAGCCCATACCTAAAAAAAATTGGTAAAACTTTGAAGGGGTTGGTGATATAAAAGAAGCAGCAAAGATCCTCAGACAAGAGAACATAGCATGCTAAGGAGTATAATTCCGTCTAGCTAGAGCACAAAAATTTTAGCTTGTATATGGAGAATTATGACACCATAAGTATCATATTATGAAGCAAAGGAGTAACATGAATAGCTCAGTTCCTTAGAAAGAGTACAGAGCTAAAATATGCAGAGTCAAATTTGGTTTCCGATGGGAGTAATCTTAGAGACTGCAAGCAGTGATAAAATTACTACATAAATACAGGTGACAGATTATGATCTGCCTAATAGTTATCTTACTGTATTTTATCTCTAGTGACAGGGTCTCACTCTGTCACCGATGCTGGAGTACAGTTGCAAAAGATCATCGCTCACTGTAGCCTTGACCTCCTGGGCACAAGCCATGCTCTACCGGAGCCACTGCCCCTAGTTATGGTTCCTGTGTAAGTAATGACTTATTGCTTTATTTCTTTTCATAGATATATTCATTAAATAATCAGTTCCTAACCTATTCCAATAACTCACTTCTCATTTTCTTTCTCATATCTGCCTATTACACCTAAGACTTTCATTGAAAGTCCAATGCTTACCATTCATTGATAGTCTTATTTGACCATTCAGTGGTATTTTCAAAAGCAACCACAATGTGTTTCTTAAATTTATTCCCTAATTTTCATTACCCTACAGTGGATGTTTCCTGGTTCCTCCCTTAACTGACCTATAAATAGTAGTATCCTTCATGTCTTTATCCTAAGACTTCATTTTATCTACCCTCTAGTCTATGCAGAGGTGGATTAAAAGAGAAATGAATGAAATCTAAACTTCAGGGACCTTCATTTAACTCCTTTAAAAGCACTGGGAGGAGCCATTGCAATATGTGACCATGTCTCTTGGCTTTAGTAAAATGTATTGAAGGTATTTATTATAAAACAATAAGAACCACATACATTTTCCTTTAAAGCTATGCCTTATTCACTTTCCACTTTGCGTCTGAAGAAGATGGAATACCTGTGGGTATTTTAGGGACCCAACTAGGGGAAGATACATTAGACATATATTAAATTTGAGTTTAAGTGGGTTTTTATGTAGTTCTCAGTCACTTCTGTATATAATTCAGTTAGTGTTTGTTGAGCAGACATAGGAGTGGCTTCCAGAAATATTTCTACCACTTTCTATGCTGATTTACTAATTCTGTGACACAAAAAGATAAGGACAAGTGTTATATTCCATTGTGAACTTGATTTTCTCAAATTCAACCCAATCAAAATATTTACAAAGCATTACTAATAAGTTATAAAACAAAAAAGAAACACTTCACAATTATCAATAAATCAAACATCAATCATTTATGTGGGAAAAAACACACATATGCTATTTTTTTCTTTTGAATATAACACCGAAATCATTCTTAATTGAGGTGATCCAAGAATAAGACCAAAAAATGTATGATAATGGGATTATGGAGGTTTGGTGTTAGGCTATATAAATGAATAAATACATTGTTCCTCAGGATTTTGCAAGATAGATATTTGTCATATTTTATTAACTTTTTAAACTTTATTGAGGTATAACTGATATACCCAAATTGCCCATATTTAACGTATACATTTTGGTGAGCTTGGTCATATGCATACACCCATTATTCTCCCATCACTATCAAGGTACAAAATATATCCATCACCTTCAAATATTTTCTTATGTTCTTTTGTGTTTTGTTTGTTTGTTGTACCAGGAATACTTAACATGAGATGGCTCCACAACATACGCTAAAGTACACAATACTATATTTTTAACTATAGATCTAGAGTTAAGATAGATCTGTAGTCTGAAATGTCTCTTCTGATTTGTTGCCTAATTTTTCATAAAACTATTTGGCTTTTGTTGTTGTTTGAGGCTTTTTGAATTCTAGTAATACTTTATAGACACTAAGTTTCAATTTTATGTAATTTTTATGTGTCACAAAATAATCTTTTTTGATACATAATATTTTTACATACTCACGGCACATGTAATATTTTGATACATGTGTAGAAGGAGTAATGATCAAGTCAGGATATTAGGATAAAATCACCTCAAGTATTTATTATTTCTTTGTGTTGGAAACATTTCAAATTCTCTCTCCTAGATATTTTGAAATATACAGCATATTGTTGTTAACTATAGTCATCCCAATGTACTACTGAAAAATAGAAATTATTTCTTCTATCTAATGGTATATTTTTACCCATTTGCCTCTTTTTTCTTTCCTTCTGCCCAATACACACCCTTCCAGGCCTCTGATAACTATCTTTTTACTCTCCAACTACGTGAGATCCAATTGTTAGTTCCTATGTGTTAGTGAGAATATGTGACATTTGTCTCTCTGGGCCAGGCTTATTTCCCTTAACATAATATCTTTCAGTTTCATCTATATCACTGCAAATGACAACATTTTCTTCTTGTTTATAGCTGAATACTATTCCCTTGTGTATATATACCACATTTTTCTTGTCCACTTATCTACTGATGGGCATTTAGACTGATTCCATATATGTGCTATTGTGAATAGTGCTGCAATAAACATGGAACTGTAAGGCCCATGTTTTGTTATACTGATCTACTTTCCTTTGATAAATACTAAGTAGTGGAATTGCTGGATTATGTGATAGTTCTATTTTTAGGTTTTTGAGAAAATTGTATGCTGATTTCATCTCTTGCAATTTTAATGAATTTGTTTATTAGTTTATTAGTCTTATATATAATGAGTATATATAAGATATATATATCTTATATATAAAAACTTATAGGAGTTTTTATATATAAGATCATGTCATCTGCAAAAGAGACAGTTTAACTCCCTCATTTCTAATTTGGATGTCCTTTATCCCTCGCATGCAAGAATGATTCAACATATGCAAATCAATAAATGTGATATATCACATTAATCACATAAGTAGAATGGTCATTTCAGTAGATATAGGAAAAGCATTTAACATGATTTAACAACCTTTTATAATAAAGATGCTCAACAAATTAGGTATAAAAGGAATGTACCACAACATAATAAAGGTCTTTCCCATACTTAAAAATATTATTGCAATTTCTAGTTCCATGTAAATATTTACTCTTATACTTTATTTTGTTTGTTCATTTTGTTTTAAATTCTCAACACAAATCAGGTAAGCTTCAGGCTTGAGAGGTAGAGGCAGTCATAAAAGACTTCTTCTCCATGACCTCCACCACTCTCATGGATTTAGAAACCATCTGCAAAATAATGCCACTCAAAAATGTTCGTGATTGCAAATCTATTTTCCTGAGTGATAGGCCACTATATTCAATCTTCTTTCTGACATTCTGAGTTGAATTGATATTATTTATCAAATATGTAATACGTCCTTTGCTAATATTTCTCATATTTTTAAATGGAAGAGATATTCATTCTCTTCACCAGTTTAAACAATCTTAACAATGACTAATTTCAAACATTGATGTTATTTGAAATAATATCATTTTTACAAAGGCACATTTTTAATTCCTTACTACAAATCCTTGTTAGTTGAATCCTAAGTTCCTATTAATTTTCAACATAGAGGAGAAGAATGTTCATAGAGATTAACCACTATGTTTTCACACATACATAATGCATTCTTACCAACTTTTATTGACATGCTAATATGATAACACCCAGTGCAAGGTGCCAATTTAAATTAATAAGTGGCTATAATATATTTTAATATTTCTCTATAATAATTTTAGTATAAGTGAGATTGACAGAAAAAATACATTTAATTAGAAGAATATGTCTCTATTGTAGGATTGTTTGGAGTTTTATCTGTGAAAAAAATCCTCTCTAGAAAGCAGCTGTCCTAAAAAATGTTCTATTGCAATAAAGTTAGTCATTTTCAGTGTCTCTTTTTCTGCAAGATAACCTCAGGAATTGAGATAATGTGAATAAGTTAAACTTTAATCAGTTGAGGAAACATCATTCTAAAGATGTTTAAATTTTCTCCCTTTCCTAAACTTATATAGTCTTATCTTACACTACTAAATATGTTTTTGTCCAAAGTTTATAAAAAGTCCAAAATTAAGAGATGACGGTTAAAAAAGATACAGCCAGAAGACTCTCTTGATATTTTAAACTTATCTTCTGAAGTAAGGAACATATATTAGTTTTCTACTGTGGCTGTAAGAAAGTAGCAAAATCTGGGTGGTTTCCAACAATGAAAAATTGATAACTATACACTTAAACATGTTTAAAATGGTAAATTTTATGTTAAGCATATTTAACCACAAAAAAATTATTAGCAGCAAATAGAATAAGATGAACTCTATGTACTCCCTTCCCCACACTAAAATAACTTTGTAGCTTTCTCAAAAAAGCTTTTTTAAGGAAAAATATATAGAGATATTTGTTCAAGGGAGATAAAGTTACAGACATGGTGCTAAAATAATTTTTAAATATTAGCAACAAATGAACAAAAAGTCATCTTTGTTTAAAATAGTAAAATGATAGTATGAAAATTCTTTTACTCAGGAACGACTGATGATATGTAATCATATTAAAATAAGAATTCATATATTATTTTAAATTCATCTATTCAACATCTGTTGTCTATAAAATTTTTACATTTTATTCACATGCACAATTTTGTCAAGTTTCTGTCAGATATTTCTCAATAAAATTATAATTGAGATTTTAATTACAACACAATTAATACTTATGATGAAATAAACGTACTTATAGAAATGCAGATCACACGGCTTAAAAAGTTAAAAAAAAAAAAGCCTGTGTTGGCAGTTTTGCTGTATTTCTATTTTTTATTTTGTTTTATTTTATAAGTTCTGGGGTACATGTTCAGGATGCACAAGTTTGTTACATAAACATGTGACATGGTGGTTTGCTGCACCTACAACCCATCACCTAGGTATTAAGCCCAGCATGCATTAACTATTTTTTGTAATGCTCTCCCACCCCTGCCTTCCCCTGACAGGCCCCAGTGTGCGTTGTTCCCTCTCTGTGTCCATGTGTTCTCATTGTTCACCTCCCACTTATAAGTGAGAACATGCAGTGTTTGGTTTTCTGTTCCTGCGTTAGTTTACTGAAGATAATAGCTTCCAGCTTCATCCGTGTCCCTGCAAAGAACATGATCTCATTTCTTGTTATGGCTGCATAGTATTCCATGGTGTATTTGCATCACATTTTCTTTATCCAGTTTATCACTGACGGGCATGTAGGTTAATTCCATGTCTTTGCTATTGTGAATAGTGCTACAATGAACATACATGTTCATGTATCTTTATAATGGAATAATTAATATTCCTTTGAGTATATACACAGTAATGGGATTGCTGGTTCAAATGATATTTCCAGCTCTAAATCTTTGAGGAATTACCACACTGTCTTCCACAATGGTTGAAATAATTTACATTCCCACCAACAGTGTAAGTGTTCCTAATTCTCCGCAATCTCTCCAGCATCTGTTGTTTTTTGACTTTTTAATAATCGCCATTCTGACTAGTGTGAGATGCTATCTCATTGTGGTTTTGATTTGCATTTCTCTAATGATCAATGATGTTGAGCTTTCCTTTATATGTTTGTTGGCTGCATGAAGGTCTTCTTTTGAGAAGTATCTGTTTATGTCCTTTGCCCACTTTTTAATGGGGTTGTTTTTTTCTTGTAAATTTGCTTAAGTTCCTTGTAGATTCTAGATATTAGACCTTTGTCAGCTGGATAGATTGTAAATATTGTTTCCAATTCTGTAGGCTGCCTGTTCTCTCTGATGATAGGTTTTTGTTTTTGTTTTTTTTGTGTGTGCAGAAGCTCTTTAGTTTAATTCGATCCCATTTGTCAATTTTTGCTTTTGTTGTCATTGCTTTTGGCGATTTTGTCATAGAATCTTTGCTCATGTCTATGTCCTAAATGGTATAGCCTGGATTTTCTTCCAAGGTTTTTATAGTTTTGGGTTTTACATTTGCAATCACAAATGATAAGGGGATACTACCACTGACTCCACAGAAATACAAATAACCATCAGAGAATACTATAAACACCTCTATGCAAATAAACTGGAAAATCTAGAAGAAATGGATAAGTTCCTGGACACATACCTCCTCCAAAAACTGAACCAGGAAGCAGTTGAATCTATGAATAGGCCAATAACAAGTTTTGAAATTGAAGCAGTAATAAATAGCTTACTGTGATGGTTAATACTGAGTGTCAACTTTATTGGATTGAAAGATGCAAAGTATTGATCCTGGGTGTGTCAGTGAGGGTGTTGCCAAAGGAGATTAAAATTTGAGTCAGTGGACTGAGAAAGGCAGACCCATCTTTAATCTGGGTAGGCATTATCTAATCAGCTGCCAGGGCAGCAAAGATAAAAGCAGGCAGAAGAATGTGAAAAGACTAGACTGTCTTAGCCTCCCAACCTACATCTTTCTCTTGTGCTGGATGCTTCCTGCCCTTGAACATCTGACTTCAAATTCTTCAGCTTTAGGACTCACACTGGCTTCCATGCTTCTCAGCTTGCAGCTGGCCTATTCTGTGACCTTGTGATTGTGTGAGTTTAAAACTCCTTAATAAACTCCTCTTTATATATATTCTATCTATCCTATTAGTTCTGTTCCTAAAGAGAATCCAGACAAATATACCTACCTACCAAAAAAAGCCCAGGACCAGATGGATTTACAGCTGAATTCTACCAGAAGTACAAAGAGTATCTGGTACCATTTCTTCTGAAACTATTCCAAACATTTGAAAAGGAGGGATTCATCCCTAACTCATTTCATGAGGCCTGCATCATTCTGATACCAAAATCTGGCAAAGATACAACAAAAAAAGAGGAAACTTCAGGCCAATATCCATGATGAACATCAATGCAAAAATCATCAATAAAATACTTGCAAACCAAATCCAACAACACATGAAAAACTTCTCCACCATGGTCAAGTTGGCTTCATCTCCAGGAGGCAAGGCTGGTTCAACATATGCGGATAAATAAACGTTATTCAAATTAATCACATAAACAGAACTAAAGAAAAAAAACACATGATTACGTCTAGATGCAGAAAAGACTTTCTATAAAATTCAACATCCCTTCATGTAACTAACTCTCAATAAACTAGGCATTGAAGGAATATACCTCAAAATAATAAGAGTCTTTTATGATGAACCCACAGCCAATATCATACTGAATGGGCAAAAGCTGAAAGCATTCTCCTTGTATCTCTATTTTCATTTGCTACTACCAGTATATTCCAAAACTGAACCTTCTAAGTGAAGATTACTCATTCAATTAAAAATCAATAAAATTTATAGAACACATTGACAAAGATTTTGGATAATACACCTTGTGGCTTACACCTCTAAAATATGCCATCTATTTTAAACTTAATTAAAATCAAAGAAGAGAAATTTGGGGCTTTCCCTGTAACTTCAGCATGCTGAATTTTCCTTCATGACAATAAAGACAGTACTGTTCATAGAGCATAAATTAATAAAGACTTAAATGTGGAAGTGAATTCTAATTTAAAATATGTTGGAACTGCCAAATTGATATTTTAAGAGAAGACAAAGTGATAGGTTTCTTAAAAGAAAACTTGCTTCACTGTCACATACATTCTAATGTAGCCAGATTTTTAAATGTCATATGCCTTCCTTTTTCAAACAGATCTCTATGCCTTTCTCTCTCACCCCAACTCTTCCTTTTTCTATGTGTATATGTATGTGTATGCTACTTTTAGGAAATTCTATGGAATAAGATAAACATAATTCCTCAAGGAAGAAACAATATAAACATTGTCACAAAAATCTATGTACAGATAGCACCATACACTTTATAAATGCATGCACCAATCCCCAGAATGCTGAGTTAGGGGGAAAGAATCAAATTGCAAATAATTAAGGTATCAAATTATATCTCAACTTGATTATCTTAATACTTATTGAATACTGTTGTGGACAGAGAAAAAGAATTCAAAATACAACTATGACACATAATAATAAAATAGATGTCTGCCTCAAGACACTTAGAGGAATATATAATATGGATAGATTTATTTTCCTTAATATGTTGGTAAATTTATGTAGTCAAGTTCATGCCTTGTGGTTTATCAGTAATTTTGTTTTAATAATTTTCACATCTGAAATTATAAAAGGTAATTAAAATAATTTTTTGGTGAAAATGAACTGAACTAACCAGTTTAGTTACAACCATGCCAAACTTCATCCTACACTTCCTTGAATATTATAAGCCACACAAAAATCTGTCACAGAACTTACATTCTTGATTCTTCTATGTGAACTAGTTCAGTAATTAATGTTTTTTAAAGAAAGATAAAAATACATATACATTCAGTGTAGTGTTCTCATCTATGAAGAGACTAGACCAGTGTTGGTCTAGAAAAGTTAACATAGCAAGCTATTTACTTAATTTAAAATACCTACTTAATGGAGTTCATAATTATCTTTAGCAGTCAGTTTTTTGTATTTCCAGACAAACAACTTTGGTTTGCACACTTGTGCATGATAAAACAGTATAATAAAAAAAAGCAAAGTAAAATTATTTTAAAAATACTTCCAAACTTCAGGTTTATGCCTCACATATTATGTCTGTAGGCCAAGAATATTTATTTAATAATTTCGTTTTATTCTCTGCTTATAAAAAATATTTTTCCCAAGCACTATAATTACTTGAGTAAAAACAAGAAAAAACGATTATTTTTAGCTTAAATGCCATCAGAAGGCTTGTTGTTTATTCTCTTGGCTGTCTTTCTTCTCTCTTTGACTTGCCTTTTTTTTCGCTATTCAAACATTAGTGAGAAGGTTACTTTACGTTGGCCAATGGAAGTAAATTATTTGGAATTTTTATTCAAAACAAAAGGCCACTAAGGATGATTATAATCTGTACCTAGTATTAATAATATGCCCATAGACACATTACTGTGGGCAGGGTTTAGGGTACTTAATTGACTCAGCTTTGATGGTGAAGCAATATCTATGTTTAACAGAGTTTGTTTTAGTTACTGCTCCCAAATCATGAGTATTAGAAAAGTGACAGCATCATAAAATGTCAGTGGGTAATGAAATTATCTACCTCAGTACTGAAAACAATGATTTAACAATAATCTTCTGAATGCTAAAATATTTAAATTTGCTCAATCATATTTTCAGAATGTTTAATATTTATGTTTTTTGATGATATTATAATCAAGTAAACTGGGTTTTGACACATATAAAATTTTAATTATTTCTATTAATCACATGCATATGATATATACATTTGCATTGATATTCTGTTCCATTGGTCTCTATGTCTGTCTTTAAGCCAATACCACACTGTTTTTATCATTGTAACATTGTAATAAGCTTCAAAATCAGTAAATGTGAGTCCTACATGTTTGCCTTATTTTTTAAGATCGTTTTGGGTACTAGTGGTTCCTTGATAATTTTATAAATTTTAAGATAAAGTTTTCTTTTTCCAGAAAAAATATCATTGGAGTTTTGATAAGGATTACATTCAATCTGTAGAACACTTCGAGTAGTATTATCTTAATAATATTAAGTCTTCTACTCCATGATCATGGGATTTATTATAATTTATTTATGTTTTCTTTAATGTCTTTCATCAGTGTTTTGTAGTTTTTATTGTACAATTCTTTCACCTCCCTGATTAAATTAAATCCGAAATATGTTATTCTTTTTCATGTTATTATAAATGAAATCGTTTTCTTAAATTTCTTTTTGAATTTTTACTATTAGCATGTATATAATTGCAAATAATTTTGGTGATGACTTGCCCTGCTACTTTGCTAAGTTTTTTATTAGCTCTAACAATTTTTGTAAAATACCTAGTGTTTTCAATGTATAAAATTATGTCATCTGTGAACAGAGATAATTTTACTACTTTATTTCCAAATGGGATGACTTTCTTCTTCTTGCCAAAGTGCTCTGGCTAGAACTTCTAGTACTATGTTTGATAGAAATGGTGAAATTCGGTATCCTTGCCTTATTTCTTTTTTTTTTTTTTTTTTTTTGAGACAGAGTCTCACTCTGTCGCCCACACTGGAGTCCAGTGGCACGATCTTGGCTCACTGCAAGCTCCACCTCCCAGGTTCATGCCATTCTCCTGCCTCGGCCTCCTGAGTACCTGGGACTACAGGCGCCCACCACTCCTTGCCTTATTTCTGATGTTAGAGAAAAAGTTTTTGGTTTTTCATTACTGATCATAATGTTCACTATGGGGTTTTTATACATGATTATTATTCTATTGAGGTAATTTCCTTCTATTTCTAGTTTTTTGAATGTTTTCATCATGAAAGACTGTTTAATTTTGACACATAATTATGTTCTTCATCAATTGAGATGATCAAGGTTTTACTGTTCCTTCAACCTGTTAATTTGGTGCATTACACTCATTGATTTTTACATGTGGGAATATTCCAGAAGAATTTTCATATGGTCACTGATATGCTTTGAATTTGTGTTCCCACCTGAATCACATCTCAAACTGTAATCTCAGGGTATTGAGGGAGGGACCTGGTTGGAGGTGATTGAATCATGGGGCCAGTTTCCCCCATGCTGTTCTTATGGTAGTGAGTGAGTTCTCACATGATCTGATGATTTCAGAAGGGCCTGTTCTCCCTTTGCTTCATCTCTCTCCTGTCACCATGTAAGACTTGCCTACTTCTCTGATTGTAAGTTTCCTGGGGCCTCCCTAGTCATGAAGAACTGTGAGTTAATTAAACCTCTTTCCTTTATAAACTACCCAGTTTTGGGTGGCTCTTTATAGCAATGTAAAAATAGATAAATACAGTAAATTGGTACCATTTTAGTAGGGTTCTACTATAAAGATAACCTGAAAATGTGGAAGCAACTTTAGAACTGGGTAACAGGCAGAAGTTGGAACACTGTGGAGGGCTCAGAAGAAGATAGGAAGATGTGAGAAAGTTTGGAACTTCCTAGTGACTTGTTGAATTGTTTTGACCAAAATGCTGATAGTGACATAGATAATGAAGTCCAGACTGAGGTGGTTTGAGATGGAGATGAAGAACTTATTGGGAACTGGAGCAAAAGTCATTCTTCCTACACTTTAGTAAAAAGACTGGCAACATTTTACCCCTGCCCTAAAGATCTGTGCAACTTTGAATTTGAGAGAGACAATTTAGGATTTCTGGCAAAAAAAAATTTCTAAGCAGCAAAACATTCAAAATGTGACCTGGGTGCTCTTAAAAGTGTTCAGTTATATGCACTGAGAAAGAGACAGTTTTAAGTAGAAATTTATATTTAAAAGGGAAGCAGAGCATAAAGTTTTGAAAAATTTGCAGCCTAACCATGTGGTTGAAAAGCAGAACCCATTTTTCTGAGAAGGAATTCAAGCAGGCTGCAGAAATTTGCATAAGTAAGAAGAAGCTGAATGTTAATCACCAAGACAATGGAGAAAATAAATCCAGAGCATGTCAGAGACTTTTATGGCAGCCCCTCCCATCACAGGCCTGGAGGCCTAGGAGGAAAAAGTGGTTTTTTGGGCCAGACCCAGGGCCCCACTGTTCTGTGCAGCCTTGGACTTGTTACCCTGCATAACAGCTGCTTGTGTTCCAGGTGAGGTAAAAGGGGCAAAGGTGCAGCTTGGCCATTGCTTCAGAGGGTGGAAGCCCTAAGCTTTGGTAGCTTCCATGTGGTGTTGTGCCTGTGGGTGTGCAGAAAACAAGAGTTGAGCTTTGGGAACCTCAGCCTAGATTTTGGTAAATATATGGAAACATCTGAATGTCTATGCAGAAGTCTGCTGCAGAGGCGGAACCCTCCTGGAGAACCTCTACCAGGACAATGCAGGGGAGAAATGGGGGATTGGATCCCTCATGCAGAGTCCCCACTGGGGCACTGCCTAGTGAAGCTGTGATAGGAGGGCCACCATCCTCCAAACCCCAGAATGGTAGATCCACCAACAGCTTGCACTGTGTGCCTGGAACCCAGCGCTTGCATCAGCATGCTCTGGATTGAGACATGGAGTCAATGGAGATAATTTAGAGGCTTCAAGATTTTTGTTTGTTTGTTTGTTGAGACAGAGTCTCACTCTGTCACTAAGGCTGGAGTGCAGTGGCACTGTGTCGGCTTACTGCAACCTCTGTCTCCTGGGTTCAAGCAATTCTCCTGCCTCAGCCGCCTGAGTAGCTGGGATTACAGGCGTCCACCACCATGCCTGGCTAGTTTTTATATTTTTAGTAGAGAGAGGGTTTCACCATGTTGTCCAGGCTGGTCTTGAACTCCTGACCTCAGGTGATCCACCCACCTCAGCCTCCCAAAGTGCTGGGATTGCAGGCATGAACGACCATGTCCGGCCAGGGCTTTAAGATTTAACAACAGCCTCGCTGGTCTTCGAACATGCATGGGGTCTGTTGCCTCTTTGTTTTTGCCAGTTTCTCTCAGTGGAGTAAAAGCAGTTACCCAATGTCTGTACCCCTTGCCTATCTTGGATGTAACTAACTTGTTTTTGATTTTACAGGCTCATAGGCAGAAGAAAGTTTGTCTCAGATGACACTTTGAACTTGAACTTTTGAGATAATGCTGGAATGAGTGAAGATTTTGGGAGACTGTTCAAAAGGCACGATTGTGTTTTGAAATGTGAGGAAGTGAGATTTGAGTGGGACCAGGGGCAGAATGATATGGTTTGACTTTGTCCCTGCCCAAATCTCATCTTGAATTGTTATCCCCAGGTGTTGGGGGAAGGATCTGGTTGTAGGTGATTGGATCATGGGAGCAGTTTCCCCAGTGCTCTTCTCATGATAGTGAGTGAGTTCTCATGAGATATGATTATTTTATAAGGGGCTGTTTCCCCTTTGCTTCCTCTCTCTCCTGCCACCATGTAAGAAGCACCTGTTTCCCCTTCCACCATGATTGTAAGTTTCCTGAGGCCTCCCAGCCATGGGGAACAGTAAGCCAATTAAATCTCTTTCTTTTATAAATTACTTAGTCTCAGGCAATTCTTTATAGCAGTGTGAAAATGGACTAAGACAGTCGTGATAAGTAATTCTTTTAATAAGCTGCTGAATTCAGCTTTAAATATTTTGTTGAGGATTTTTGCATTCATGGTTATTAGGAATATTTGTCTGTAGTTTTCTTGTAGTGTAGTTATCTGGCTTTGATATCAGGCTAGCGCTGATATAATGGGGCTGTGGCATCATGACCTAATTATCTCTGAATTCTTCATCTACTAATACCATCACCTTGGGAGTTAGGATTTCAACATATAAATTTTGGGGGGACATAAATATTCAGACCATAGTAGATATATGCATTTCCTTAGGAAACGTAGCTTAGGAAAAATATGTCACTTAAACCATTAAAAATATGTGGGAGGAGCAGAGCAAGATGGTTAAATAGAAACCTATACTGTTTATTTTTTCCACAGGAACACCATGTTTTAACAACTAACTAGACATAAAAGCAGTGCTACAGGAACCAAAAATTAGGCGAGCCATAAAGCACTTTGACAGGAAAACCAAATTTAACTAGCAAACTATGCACTGAAAGCATCATCAGAAAATGCAAAAATCAGGTGAGCACTCATAGCATCTAGTTTTAACTTTATATTGCCAAAAGAGCCAGTGAAAGTGGGTAAGAGAGACAGTCATGCATTGCTGACACCACCAGCCTCCCAGCTCCCAACAGCAACCCTTGGTGTGGAGAATTTGTGTGCTTAGGACAAGAGAAACTCAATTACTGGGGGACTTCCCATTGAACTCAGTGCTTCCTTGTCACAGCAGAATGCAAACAGTACCCAGATAATGCTTGCCCTTTGAGGGAGCTTCTGGATCAGTCTTAGCCAGAAGGGAGTTACCCATCCCAGAGTTATGACACTTTGAGTGTCATAAATCAAAGTGTGAGTTATGACAAGCCTACCACCATAGGCTAAAGTGCTCTGCAACCCTAAGTGAACTTGAAGAGCAGTCCAGGTCACAAGTACTGCAATTCCTTGGCAAGTCCTTGTCCTGAGCTGGGCTCAGAGCCAGTGAACTTGGAGGGCACATGACCTACTGAGACACCAGCTATGGCAGCTAAGGAAGGACTTGTGCCACTTTCCCCTCATCACCCAGTAGTGACCATGGGGCACAGAGAAATCTATGTGATTGGAAGAGGGAGAGTGCAGCAATTGTGAGACTTTACGTTGAACTCAGTGCTGGCCTGTTATAATGGAGAGCAAAGCTGTGCTAAGCTAAGTAGTACCTGAAAATGGAAGGAGCTCCTAGACTAGACCCAGGTGGAGGGGAATTGCCCATTCCAGCAGTCAGAACTTGAATTCCTTGGCAGGCCTTGCCAACATGAGCCAATGTGATCTAGGATCCTAGGTAAGCTTGAAAGGCAGTCTAAGATATAAGGACTGAAATGCCTAAGAAACTCCTAATGGTGGGCTTGGCTTTGAGACAATGGATTAGGCTGGCACATGACCTAGAGAGAGACCAGAAAGGGCAGCTAAGGGAGTGCTTGTGCCACACCCCTTTTCCAAACTCAGGCTGCACAGCTGACAGCAACAAAAGTGACTGCTTCCTTCTGCTTGAGGAGAAGAAACTAAAGACTAAAGAGGACTTCATCTTACATCTTGGATACCAGCACAGCCACAGTAGTATAGGACACTAGGCAGAGTTGTTAAGTCTGCATTATAGGCCTTAGCTCATGGATGGCATTTCTAGACACACCTTGGGCCAAAATAGAACCCACTGTCTTGAAGGAAAAAACCATTCCAGGCAGGATTCATCCCTTGCTGACTAAAAATCCCTTGGTCCCTAAATAACCAGCAATGATACCCAGGTAATAAGATGTGGGCCTTGGGCTTTGAGATGTGCTGGCTTCAGGATGACCCAGCATACTCCCAGCTGTGGTGGCTATGGTGAGACTCCTGTTTGAGAAAAGCAGGGAAAAGAATAAACAGGATTTTGTTTTGTGCCTTAGGTACCAACTCAGTCAGTGAGATAGAGCACCAAGCAGGTTCTTGGGGTTCCTGAATTCAGGTCTAGGCTCTTGATCGGCATTTCTGAACATTCTCTGAGCCAGAGAGTATCCCACTGCCCTGAAAGGTGAATCTCAGGCCTGGAAGCATTCACTAGAGGCTGACTGAAGAGCCCTTGAGATTTAAGTTAACATCAGTGGTGGCCTGATTAGAGCGCATTGTGGGCTGGTCACGCTGGTGGCTACAGAGAGAGACTCCTCTGCCTATGAAAAGGGGAGAGAAGAGGAAGAAGGACTTTCTATCGTGTTTTGAGTGCCAGCATAGCAACAGTAGAACAGAACATCAGATGAATTTCTAAGGTTTTTTACTCTAATTCCTGGCTCGAAGAGAGCATCTCTGGCCCCAGCCAGATTTCCCCAGGAATTGCCACATTGAAGGTAGGGACAGAATCCTGGCTGGCTTTGCTGCCAGCTGATTGTAGAGCCCTAGGGACTTGAGTGAATATATGTGTTAACCAGGTAGTGGTTACAGCGGGCCTTCAGCAAGACTCAGTGCTCTGCTCCCTTCACATCTGACTTAGCACTGTCACAGTGTTGGTGGTCACAGAGAAGCTTGTGTTTCTTCACCCCTAGTTCCAGGTTGTGTAGCTCACATAGAGAAACTTTTTTTCATTTGAGAAAGAGTAAGTTAAAAGAAAATAGTCTCTGCCTGGTAATTTGGAGAATTTTCCCAGACATTTACCAACACCTCCAAGGTGGAACCTCTACAAGTCTACAAGTACTACAGCGTTATTGGATCTGGGGCCCAAGTTCCTTTGAACACCTGGAAAACCTACCCAAGAAAGACAGGCACAAATAAGCCCAGACTGTGAAAAGTGCAGTAAATGCCCAACTCTTCAATGCCCATACACCAAAGAACATCTACAGGCATCAACACATTCGGGGAAACATGACTTCACCAAATAAACTGAATGAGGCATGAGGGACCAATTCTGGAGAAATGGACAAGTGACCTTTCATATGGAAAATTCAAAATAGCTGTGTTGAAGAAAGTCAAAAAGATTCAAGATAACAGAGAGAATGAATTCATAATTCTATCAGATAAGCTTAACAAAAAGACTACAATTATTAAAGAGAGTCAAGCAGATACTCCAGAGTTGAAAAGTGCAATTAATATGCAGAAGAATGCATCGTGGTCTCTTAATAGCAGAATTGATAGAGTGGAAGAAAGAATTAATGAGCTTGAAGACAGGCTATTTGAAAATACACAGGCAGAGGAGACAAAAGGAAGAAGAATTAAAAAGAATGACGCATGCCCACAAGATCTAGAAAATAGCTTCAAAAGGGTAAATCAAGCATGAAGGAAAAATAGAAACCTTCCCAAACAAAGAAAAGCTGTTCTGCAAGAAATACTAAAGGGAGTTCTTCAATATAAATGAGAAGAACGTTAATGAGTAATAATAGATCATCTGAAGATATAAAACTCACTGGTAATAGCACACAAAAAAACACAGAATATTCTAACCTGCAAATGTGATGTGTAAACTACTCTTATATTGAGTAGAAAGACAAAATGATTAACCAATCAAAAATAATAACTAAAATAACTCTTCAAGACATAGACAGTATAATACAACAAGAAAAACAACAGAAAGTTAAGAAAAGGAAGTGAAGTTAAGGTGTACAGTTTTTATTAGTTTTTTTGCTTGTTTGTTTATTTGATTGTTTATGCAGTGTTGTCATTAATTTAAAATAATGTGTTATAAGAGAGTATTTGCAAACCTCATGATAACATCAAATTGAAAAACATATAATGAATACACAAAAATTAAACAGCAAAAAATTAAATAATGGAGAAAATCAACTTCACTAAAAGGAAGACAGAAGAGAAAGGAAAGAAGAAAGATAACACCATAAAGCAATCATAAAATAAGTAACAATGAGTAAGTTCTTACTTATCAATAATAACATTGAATGTAAATGGACTAATCTCTTTAATCAAAAGACATAGAGTGACTGAATGGATAAAAAAGCAAGACCCAGTGATCTGTTACCTACAAAAAACACACTTCACCTATAAAGATGCATATAAATTGAAAATGAAAACATGGAAATATATATCCCATGCCAATGGAAACCAAAAGAGAGCAAGGGTAGCTATTCTTACATCAGACAAAATAGATTTCAAGACAAAAACTGTAAAAAAAAAACCAAAAATATCATTATATAATGATAAAGAGGTCAATTCAGCAAGATAATATAAAAATTGTAAATATATGTGCACCCAATACTGGAGCACCCACATAAAACAAATATTATTAGAGCTAAAGAGAGAGATAGACCTTGACACAACAATAGCTGAAGTCTTTAACATCCCACTTTCAGTTTTAGACAGATAATCCAGACAGAAAATCAACAAAGAAACTTTAGACTTAATCTGTACTGTAGATCAAGTAGACTTAATAGACATTTACAGAACATTTTATCTAAGGGCTGCAAAATAAACGTTCTTCTCCACAGCACATGACTCATCCTCAAGAAGAAACCATGTGTTAGGTCACAAAATAAGTATTAAAACATTCAAAAAATTGAAATAATATCAAGTATGTTCCCTGGCCACAATGGAATAAAACTAAAAGTCAATAACAAGAGGAATTTTGAAAACTATACAAGCACACGGAAATTAAACTGTATGCTTCTCAATGACCAGTGGGTCAATAAGAAATTAAGAAAGAAATCGAAAAATATCTGGAAAGAAATGGTAAGTGGAAAAAGAACATACCAAAACCTATGGAAGACAGCAAAAGCAGTACCAAGAGACAAATTTATAGCTGTAAATATCTACATCAAAAAAGAGAAAAAAGAAACTCTACAAATAAATAACCTAATAATGCATTTTAAAGAACTAGAAAAGCAAGAGCAAGCCAACCCAAATTAATAGAAGAAAATAAATAATATCAGAGCAGAAGTAAATGAACTTGAAACCAAGAAAGTATGAAAGATCAAGGAAACAAAAAATTTCTTTTTTTGAAAAGATAAACAAAATTGACAATCCTTTAGCCAGACTAATGAAGAAAAAGAAGAGAGAAGACCCAAATAAATAAAACCAGAAATGAAAAAGGAAACACTACCCCTGATACTACAAAAATTCAAAGGTTTATTAGTGGCTACTGTGAGCAACTGTATGCCAACAAATTAGAAAATTTAGTGAAAATGGATAAATTCTCAGACACATATGACCTACCAAGTCTGAGCCATGAAAAAAAATCCAAAACCTTCAGACCAATAACAAGCAACAAGAGCAAAGCCATAATAAAATGTCTTGGATGTGATGACTTCACTGCTGAACTCTACCAAATATTTAAATAAAATCTGATACTAGTCCTCCTGGAAGTATTCCAAAAAATAGAGGAAGACATAATACTTCCAAGCTCACTCTATAAGTCCAGTATTACCCTCACATCAAAACCAGACGAAGACACATCAAAAAAAGAAAACTACAGGCAAATATCTCTCTGATAAACTTGATACAAAAGTCTTCAGCAAGATACAAACTGAATTCAACAATACACTGAAAGATCATTCATCATAATCAATTAGATTTATCCCAGAAATACAAGGATGATTCAACATATGCAAATAAATCAATATGATACATCATATCAACAGAATGAAGGTTGTAAACCATATGAACATTTCAAATTATGCTGAAAAACCATTTGATAAAATTCAACATCTCCTTATGATAAAACCTTCCAAAAGCTAGGTGTAGAAAGAACATACCTTAATATGATAAAAGCAGTATACAACAGATCCAAAGCTAGTGTCATACCGAATGGGAAAAAAACTGAAAGCCTTTCCTCCAAGGTTTGGAACATGACAGATGCCCACTTTCACCACTGTTACTCAACATAATACTGGAAGTCCGAGCTAATGCAATAGGAAAAGAGAAAGAAATAAAGCCCATCCAAATTTAAATGGAAAAAGTCAAACTTTTCTTGTTTTTGCAGATGAAATGATCTTATATTTGGAAAAACCTAAAGACACCAAAACACACACACACACACACACACACACACACACACACACACACACAAACTGTTAGAACAGATAAACTAATTCAATACAGTTGCAGCATACAAAATCAACATACAAAAATTTGTAGCATTTCTATATGCCAACAGGGAACAATCCAAAAAAGAAATTTTAAAAAATCCCATTTACAATAGCCACACATAAAATTAAACATCTAGGAATTGACTTAACCAAAGAAGTAAAATATCTCTACAATAAAAATTATTAACCACTGATGAAAGAATTTGAAGGGGACACACACACACGCACACACACACAAATGGAAAGATATTTCATGTTCATGAATTAGAAGAGTCAATAATGTTAAAATGTCCATACTACCCAAAGCAATCTACAGATGCAATGCAATCCCTATCAAAATACCAATGACTTTCTTGACAGAAATAGAAAAAAAAAACTTAAAATTTATATGGAACCATAAAAAATCCAAAAGAGCCAAAACTATCATGAGCAAAAAGAACAAAACTAGAGGAATCACTTTCTCTGACTTCTGATTATACGACAGAGGTATAGTAATCAAAACAGCATGATACTAACATAAAATAAACACATTGAACAATGGAATTGAAAAAAGAACCCAGAAACAAATCCACACACCTGCAGTGAACTCATTTTAAACAAAGTTGCCAAGAACATGCACTTGGAAAATGACAGTCTCTACAATAAATGGTGCTAGGAAAACTGGATGACCATATACAGAAGAATGAAACTAGACCCTTATCTGTCACATATACAAAAGTCAAATAAAAATAGACTGAAGACTTAAATTTGAAACCTTAAGCTGTGAAATTACTACAAGAAAATATTGGAGAAACTCCCTGGAACACTGGTTTGAGCAAAAAGTTTCTTGAGTAATACCTTACAAGCACACTCAGGCAAAGCAAAAATGGTTAAATGGTTCACATCAAGTTAAAAATCTTCTGCACAGCAAAGAAAACAATTCAAAAAGTGAAGAAATGACCCACAGAATGGGAGAAAATATTTGCAAACTACCAATCTGACATGGACTTTATAACCATATTATAAAAGGAGCTCAAATGACCCTACAGGAACAAAAACTAATAATCCATTTTAAAAATTTGCAAAAGATTTTAATACACATTTCTCAAAAGAAGACATACAAATGGCAAATAGGCATATAAAAAGGTGCTCAGCATCATTGATCATCAGAGAAATGCAAATCAAAACTACAATGAGATATCATCTCACTCAGTTAAAATGGCTTATATCCAAAAGACGGGCAATAACAAATGCTGACAAGAATGTGGAGAAAAAAGGAATCCTTATACATTGTTGGTAGGAATGTAAATTAGTACAACCTCCATGGAGAACAGTTTGGAGCTTCCTCAAGGAAAACTAAAAATAGAGCTAGTATATAATTCAGCAATCCCACTGCTTGGTATCCACCCCCAAAGTATATTGAAGAGATATCTGCACTCTCATGTTTGTTGCAACACTGTTCACAACAGCCAAGATTTGAAAGCAACCCAAATGTCCATCAACAGATAAGTAAATAAACAAAATATTGTATATATACACAATGGAGTACCATGTAGCCATAAAAAATGATGAGATCCTGTTGTTTGCAACAACATAGATGGAAATGAAGGTCATTATATTAAGTGAAATAAGTCAGACACAGAAAGACAAACTTTACATCTCCTCACTTATTTGTGGCAGTGAAAAATCAAAATAATTAAACCCAGGGAGATAGAAAGTAGAAAGATGGTTATCAGAGGTTGGGAAGTTTTGAGGTGAATGTAGGGGGCAGGGAAGAGTTGATGGTTAATGAATACAAAATAAAAATAGTTAAATAGTTAAATACTATGAATAAGACATACTATTTGCTAGCACAACAGGGTGACCATAGTCAATAATAATTTAATTGTATCTTTTAAAATAGCCAAAAGAGTATAATTTGTTGGAACACAATGGATCAATGCTTGAGGGGATGGATACCCTATTTTCCATGCTGTAATTATTACACATTGCATGCCTGTATCAGGGTTTATTGTGTACCCCATTAATATATACACCTATGAACCTGCAAAAATAAAACTATGTGGCATTTTCTTGCACCAAAAAGAATGAAATACTTAAGAATAAACTTAACTAAAGATGTGAATGACTTGTACACTGAAAATTATAAAACACTGATGAAAAGCATTGAACAAGAAATAAACGAATTTAAATATATCCTGTGTTCATGTAATGGAAGAATTATTATTGTTATAATAATTACACTATGTAAAGCTATTTACACATTCAGTGCAATCTCTACCAATTTCCCAGTAGCATTTTTACAGAACTAGAAAAAAAAAATCTAAAATTCATATCTAACCACACAAGATTATAAAGTGCCAAACTGACTTAGAGAGAAGAGGAACAAAACTGGAGGCCCTATACTTCTTGATTTCAAAGCTACAGTAGTAAAAAAAAAATAGTTGGTACTGGCATGAAGACAAACATATCAACCAATGAAACAGAATAGAGATTTCAAAAAACTGAATCCTAACATATATAGTCAACTGATCTTCAAAATGGGTGCCAAAATACACAATGAGGGGAAGGACAGTCTCTTCAACAAGTGGTGTTGGGAAAACTAAATATTCACATGCAAAAGAATGATATTGAATGCTTATCTTACACCACACACAAAAATCAACTGAAAAGTGATTAGACATAAAAATATAATACCTGAGACTAAAATTTCTAGAAGAAAATGTAGGAAAATGCTTCATGACATTGACCTTGGCAATGATTTCATGGATATATATGTGATTGTTGACAAAAGCACAGACAACACAACAAAAATAAACAAGTGGGAATCCATCAAGCTAAAAAAAAAGTCTTTACCGAAAAGGAAAAAATCAACAGAGTTTCAAAAAAGCAACCTGTAAAATGGGAGAAAATATTTTCAAACCATGTATCTGACAAGGTGTTAATCTTCAAAATAATTAAGGAAGTACTACAAATGAATAGCTTAAAAAATTCATAACCTGATTAAAAGATGGTCAAAGAAACTGAATAGATACTTCTCCAAAGAAGATACACAAATGGATAACAGGTGTATGAAAAGGTGTTTAAACAATTACTAATCATCAGGAAAATGCAAGTCAAAACCATAATGAAATATCACCTCTGTGGCAGAATTCTTACAATTTTGTTGCCTCAGAGTCCGTTGTGAATCTTTTTTAACTGTCTCATAAAGAAGCAGGGCTTAGTCACCCTTGACACAGTTTCCAGTTTTCTGTAGTCTTCCAGTTCCTCAGTGTGTTCAGTCCAGATACCTTTTTCACAACTGCCTCCTCATGGGACATATAGGTACAATCAACTCCACCTACTCCACAGACCCTCACACCTCTAAGGTGAGTCCATTGAGGTTTCTGAGAAAGCAGTCAAAATAGGACATAGTAGAGAAGCTAACATTTTACTGCCTTTGGATAAAGTCATATAAGAGTATAATGCTTAGAGCTTCGGGAACCATTGTGAAAACATCAGAATGAAGCCAAAATAATCACTTAGAATCCAAAGCAAAAATTATTAAAGCACTAAATCAATTAATATTTCTTATATAATAACATGTTTATTTCCACATTCTGTTATTTGAGGCCAAAATCATCTTAACTGATTTACTTGATATTACTTAACTATTAAAAATCAGTAAAAAGAAAAGTAACTGAGTTATGTCAACCATTTAGTGTAATTAAGACTGATTAAATGACTCTTGCACAAAATTTCTGCGCTTCAGAAATCCTCTTCATTGCTTAAGATGAAAGTGTCAAATAAATCTATCCAGCATGCCCATTAATTTATTTACTGAAAAGCAATGTTTTTAGCTCTATTGCAGTAGCAATCAAATGTTCTTCAGGAGCAATATTGAGGTGCTCTTTTGCTTAATGCAGTTAAATGAGTTTAGTCTAAAATTTCAAGCATTATAACACATTGATTAGATCTGAACCAACTGCATTTTGTTTATTTGAAAAGGTGAAAACTTGGTTTTTGGAAGACATTTTTCGATTATCCTTGAAAATTCCATGATCTGAAATTTTTAAGAGGAGATTTATGAAGAAATTTCCTTTCATGAAACTAGCTGTTATTTAAATGTGTATATTGTAAGTGACAGTGTTTGCTTTATTTATCCAGGCAGAGGTTTGAGCCATTCCCTAGGAGAGACGGGAGAGAGGTAACAAGGCCTCCCTACCTAAGGAATGGCTCATACCATCTCCCTTGCCTGCACTGCCCCCTGAAGGTTTCCACAGCTTCCTGTTTGTTCCCAGTCTTTCTCATGATCACATAAAGTTGTTTGTAGAGAGGAGTTGTAAGTCTGTGCAAATGCATCTTTTGTGTGTAGCCTTAAGATATTTTGTAGTACTCAGGTCATACTTGGCTTCTAGCAATTCATTAAAAATTGTAACTGGATCTTATCTGCTTCTGTGTTGGTTCCATATTTTTCCTGTACTCCACTCCGAGGAAGGGAGTGCTTGTGTTCATGTCTCTCCTTGGAGGTCCATTTTTTTTTTCTTAGATATCAGGTTATTTGGTTGGCTTCCAGCCTTAACTCTGTAATATGTTCAAGGTTTCATAGATTATCTGGCTTTGTCTTGTTGTTAACAGGCGAGTGACACCTTTTCTAGTTTTACATTCTAAGCAGAAGCTGGAGTGCCTCTCCCTTTCATTAAAGCAGCAAAAACTTGACACCAAAAGAACACTAAACAGGAAATAAAATCAGTTTCAATTCTGTTATGAACACAGATGCAGAATTACTATGCCAATTCTTGTAAAGGGAATACAGCAACAAATTTAAAAATACCATTCTAAATAATATTTTTTAAAGATTTAGCACATGGGATACAAAGGTCAACTATTTTCATTCCCAGTGGGAAGCTAAGAGCTGGAATTTTTCCTCAGCTTCTTATGTGCTAAGCAGGTATGTCATTCAATGGCATCGACCAGCCCAAACCTCCAGCTCCTTCTTCCCTAGGCAGCTCATCTGTGGTCCTGTTAGAGAACTGCTGTATAACAGAGAATATATATAAAAAAATATATAATGAGGGCAGGCATTGTACACTTAAAATGTTGCTAAAATCTCTGCTGTACAACAGAGAATATATAAAAATATATATTAATTATAATACATATTATAATGTATATATGATAAATTATATATTATATATAATAATATATTAATGTGGGCAGGCATTGTATACTTAAAATATTGTATTAAATATTAAAATATTGCTAAAGTGATGATCTTATATTAAGAGTTCTTACCATAAAAAAAGAAAAACAAAAACAAATCAAAAAATATTTGACAAAATGTAGATCTGCAATATTGAACATAGGATAATTAAATGTGATAGAAATAATAGCAACCAAAGACCATTCAGAAGGCAGAAGCTATAATTAATGAAGCATGGCATTGTTAAAATGATTTAAATGAAACATTAATTTTGTTATAAATTTCAACAGGAACAAAATGAAAATTGAGAAATAGGGGACAATTTAGTTGTGTCATAATAATGATTGAGGAATTTAAAAAAGGAAATTATGAAAAATGTTTAGATAAGTAAAAACATTCTAAATAGATTGAGGACATGTCTTGTTCACTGATTAGAAGATTTGATATTTATTACTATATTAGGTAGGTAGGTGTGTATGTGAATATTGACAGACATTTCTGAAGTTTTTATGGAAATATAAATGGTCAGTAATAAACAAAACAATCCTGAAAAAGAAGAAAAAGCTGGATATTTTAAACTAAGTGCTATCAAAATATGTTGTAAAGCTACAGTAATTACAACAGTATGGCCCCAGTGTCAAATCAGAACATTTCTGGCTTTTAATAGAGAATAGACCAATGAAGCAGAGTCCAGTAAGAGCTCAAATAGATGTGGTCACCTAATTTATGATAAATGTGACACCACAGTCCAACCTGGTAGGAAGGATATTTTAATAAACGAAGCTTGTCAATTAACTCTTCATTTGAAAATTGTATATTAATCCTCTACCTATAACATGCACAAAAGTAAATTTCAGATTGAATGCAGATCCTCATAAGAAATGAAAAAATGTAAAACTTTGATTAAAAATCTGATAAATATAGCCTTAGATTAAACAGAAACATTTTAAACACAAAAATTACCAGAAGATTACAAAAAATTTAATTTGGCTATGTTAAAGTGAATGTTTGTGATCAAAAGACAACACTGAAGCAATAAAGTGGAGTCTATAAGGAAGGAAAACATAATGGCAACACATACCTTTCATAATAAACTAATAACCAAATACATTAAAAAATATTTGCCAAGTTAAAAAAGCCAATTCAAATTGATAATTGATCAAGACATAAAGCAACCCTAATAGGATATATCCAGGTAACTAATAGGTATCAGAGAATGAGTTCAATATTATTATTAAATGAATGTATACTAAAATCTCAAAGTGTTACCACTATTCCTAAAGCAAAATGACTAAAATGAAAAAACAAGACACTATAAATTATTAACAACGATGTGGAAAAACCAGAAATATCATTCCCTTGTTATAGGAATGAAATTGTTGCTAACATTTTGGAAAATTAATTGCTAGTACCCATTAATTGATTGGTAGTACTTATTACTACTAATTAATAAGTTGGGCATATACATACCTGTGACCAAAAAAGTCTATTTCTAGGTATACAAACATTGTAGTTTGGGTCATCCAGAAGCCAACAATGAGATGAAGTTTACAGTAGAAGTGGAATTTGGTGTGTAAGAAGTTTATGAAAATCAATACTTAGCAAGTAGAAGGAGACAGAGTTGGACAAAAGCAGGAATTGAACTGCAAAGCAAATTTGATAAAGCCTCAGTCAAGCCTATGGAAAGCTCTGCAGGAAGAAGTGCCTGCCAAAACTGTCTCCTGACAGCCTGAAATAGCCCAAGCCTCTGTATCCTTACCTATCCTCACTCAGTAACCAGATGCAGGGTCTCCAGCAAGGTTGTGACCACAGACAAAGCCACTGTCTGTACCTGGGGCTGATTCTGAAGGGGCTGCTAGTTGGTGGTTGTTTGCTGACCAAAAACTTTAAAACTAGCAGCACTTTCTATCTGAATCTGGATGGGTGCATCTCAGTGTCTATCAATATTCAACATATATGCACGCACATATTCACAGGCACACACACTTGTGAAACAGTATTTGTGACAGCTCTCTATATAATAGCTAAAAACTAGATAGAATCCAAACTTTGATCAACAGATGAGTGAATAAATAAGTCCTACTGTATTCAGCCACAAACTATAAATTTCCTGTTACAATATGGATGAACTTCACAGACATAATAATGAGATAAAGAATCCAGACACAAAGAGTAAATGACGTGTGTGATCCCATTTATATAAAGTGTAGAAACAATAACAATTAATTTTGTCATTAGGAAGTTGACATTGAGGAATTTGGTTACTGGAAGTGAGTAGAATGGACTTTTGTCATTCTGGTAAAGTTTTCTGCTTTCATTTGGGAGCTGGTTATATTAATATATTGACTTTGTAAAAATACATTGAGCTATACACTTGTTTTTATTGCACATCTTTCCCAACATTTTATTACCTTTTCAAGCACCCAAAGTAGCTAAAATATTTTTACAATGAGTACCTATATATCCATCACCTCTATTATACCCTCAACAGTTTAATTATATACAGCTTTCTCACAATAAGATATTTTCAGCCACAATGTGCAAGTTATTCTTATTGTATTTTATAAATTAAATATACAATATTTTCTTATTTAAAATTTAATAGCAGTTGTTATTGCATATTCTTGGGAATCTTCAATGGCTAGAGTGGTTTGGTTTAAGGAAAATGTAGTATTTTTCATTTTCTTTCTCTCTTCCCACACACACATGCGTGCACTCACACCCAGTGGGTCTGTGTGTATATATACACATAAGCCTTTACACTAGAGGATATACATTATAAAATATATAGTGTGTGTATATATAAAGAATATATATGAGAAGATATATAATGCATGTATATATTGATGTGTATGCTTATGTTGGAGAATACATAAATAATATGTAATGAGGGCAATTATT